>NC_000003.12:85464545-85767575 GCF_000001405.40 Homo sapiens | reverse complement strand
ATAGAATAAAAGATCACGATAATCCAACCAGCCACAAGAAATTTAGTGAGAAGAAAACTTCATGTATTAAATTTGCACTAGTAAGTGACTACTCTGCAAATTTAATTTCTTCTTATCAATAAAATAGCCAAGGTTGCATATAATAGAGAAGTAATATATTACTTAAAACTAGATCATGAGGGTGAAAACACAATTTTACATTTTGAAATCTCTTCTGCTTAAGCACACTTTATCATTTCATTACATGCCTTCGAAGCAGCCGCCGGCTTATTTGTACATTGGGAGCAGTATCCTTCTGGCTTATGCCCAATATTGACACAGTCAGCCATTAAGAGGTTAGGTGTGCATCATGGTAAACCCGGTAATATATTTAAATCACTAGAGTGAACTTTAAGGTGGTCACTAATAAAACTAAATAAGACAATTAGGAATGTTTCACTTTATGGTACATACTTTGTTACTAGCAGTAAAATATTTGACATCTATTCATTTGGGTAAAGTGTATTGAATATATTTCAAGTAAGTTAAAAAATATGGTACAATAGTAGATAATCAACATAAATTTTTATTGAGTCAATTTGTTGTTTCATACCCTGTGGGAGCTGCTAATCTATGACAAAAAGTGATGGCAAAAACTGAACATATATTTATTAAACACAATACATAAAGAGTTAATGTGAAGTAGATTTCAGCACATGATTAAGAACATATATTATCAAGTTGAATGAAATAGAAACAGAAATTCAAATGACATATTGCTAGCATGGCCTGATTTACTTTCTCCTGCTATTCAACAATATAATTATGGAGACAGAAAAAAAATGAAAGCTCATGATAAAATTGGACAATGGGACTCATCAACATATCAGAAGCATTTCAGGAAAATATATCTGAACTACAAGACCAACATAACTAAACTGACGTAAAGAATTATTTATTTTCCCTTCCTATGCAATTGCAAGAGCAAAATTCCAGCATCACAAAACTAAAATGTGTACAGGAGTCTCTTGGTTGCTCCAAATGTGCAAGGCATGTGCCACTCACTTGAAAACTTAGTGTCCATCCTTCTACCACATAGTGGCTATGTTTTCAAGGAGCAGAATATTATTCTTTAGCCAACGAATTTTTAGATCTAAGAACCTCTTCTTTATCCATCTGAACAGTTTTAGAATTTAGGTGAGCATACTTCCCAGTTTGCCAGGGACAATCCTAGTATGTTCTGGGGCCCTGACATAACTATTAATAGAGAGCTCTTTCATTCTCAATTTTTCCTTTTATGGACAATAACTTGTATGTTTATCTTACCTAGAGCACATATACTCTAGGTACATTATACACCTTGTTATATGGAGAATTGGCACTTGCTTGCAGTGTCAGGAAGGAAATTTGAACACTTTAAAGTAAAATAGACACAATTAATACAGGCATTGCCCTTGTAAAAATTAGGTATTACTCTCTTCTATGTACTTCCTCTATTCAGACTATCAGGCCAAAAGATGGTGAGAATAGAAAACTGCATCGTATTCTAACAGGTCTATAGTAGTTGCATGCCATTTAGACACCAGGAACTGGTTCAGGAAATATGCACATTTTCCTCCCTTTCATTTGCATATGAGGGGCATTTATTCAACATTCATGCTGCCAGAAAGTGGAATCAAATGTGATCTGAGCACTCTGTTGGAAAACACAAACATTGGATAAAATTTCCTCATTCGTGGATGAGTAAACAAAACAAAAACATAGATAGGGCTTTGCCATACATACTAATTACCCTACACAGGACATTTTCTTAGTCATATACTCAATAAGATACAAGATAGGTGGACTCAATGAAATAGGAGGAGAGAAATGAAAAAATCAAGTAAAAATAATAAATAAGAAATACATGATAAAAATGTATGAAGTAAAAAAGAAATGCAAGGAAATTAAAAATGTGATTGAATAGCTAAAATCTGAGTTAGAAATAAAGAGCATCTCTGATATTAGAACCCATATAAAGGAATTAGAGGAAATTGAAAAGCTCCCAGGAAATAGGGAGATACTATGACATCTGAATTAAAACACTGGGAAAGAAGATGACATATATGATAGATTGGAGTTGAGGATTGACCTTGGGAATGTTAGAGGGAAAATCAAGCATAATTCTGGCTGTAATAACTAAAAATAAATTTTGAAATGAAAAATGTACTTAATATGAGGATTACACATTCTCACCACCTCACAGACAACATTAATGAATCCTCAATTAAGCAGGAGTTCGAAAGGTTTAATATTTTAAGAATCTATTTTAAAATCTTAGAAGCATCCAGGTTGATAATTTTCAAAAGAAGCAAAGGGCTTCTGTCTTCTTTACAAAAGTAATTGCCAGAGGACATCAGAATAATAGCTGTAAGGCTGAGAAGACATTTCATATTCACTGAAGCGTTTCTTTGCGAAAGCTTAGAAAACATACTTTCTACATAGCTGGACACATATCAAACAACCAAGAAGGGAATAATATTAAAAATTCAAAGTTGAGCTCTTTACATTCTCTGACATTCTTCCCAAAGCCTACCTCCCTAAAATTATTAGAAAAAGCAGCACTTTAGAAAAAAACAAAAAACAAACAAAAAAACAGAATAAATCAGTAGTCCAGGTTTGTATACCCATTACTAACTTCACCATCTTCAGTAAATCACTTAACTTCCCCGACCTTGGTTTATCCATTTATAAATAGGATGATTATAAAACCTACTTTACAACTCTGTTGAGAACATAAAAGGAGATAATTAATACAAAAGTGACCTTATAACACTTTTGCTATAGTAATATAAACAATTATTATTAATCATCTAGGAACTTGCAATTTCTTTAGGAGTAACAAAGGTTATTTCCACAGTCCTTTCTTGAAATGACCCCACTCTTGATATGCTGATGCATCTCTTAATACATAAGGAATTTGGAACTGAATAACATTTTACATGAGAAAATATTCCTTGTTAAGTCTTTCAAATGCTAATTTTAGGTTTGGTTATATAACAACAAATACTCCTTGGTGCTAAAGACTTGACTTTGAACATAAAATATCTGCTTCCTTCCTATGTGTATACGAGTATTCTGTTTCCTCCAGTCTAGCTTTTTACCAGATTCTTTATGCATTTGTTTCTTATACAGAGCATGTCTACTCATGACATTGTCTTATTTAAAAAGATTTCATCTTCCCATCTCTGGATGACTCCATCTATTGCTGATAATTGATAATTCTTTTTAATTGCCAGAATAATTCAGTCACATTATTAATTTTATTTTTAACTATATCATTAAATGGAATACTTTATAGTGTATCACCATGTACTGTTATTTTCCTCTGGGAAATTGCTGTTCATACAAAAATGTTTTATATTTATAAAATCCTTATAATATAGTACTTAGAAAAAAGATACAAATTAGATATAAACTTGATACTGAATTTTTTAATATAATGCGGAAGAAAAGAAATATACTAACACTACGATAGTACATATACTGAGTTGATAACATTATGTTCTTATTTCTTTTTCCCATTTCCCTCTGTTCATTTTATAAATTATAAAATCGTACCAAATTTCTATTAAAAGTGTAATGAAAGAAGACAAAGTTCTTGTAAGCCAAGGCAGAGAATGCTCTGAAGAGAAAAGGAGGCAAGTAGGCTGAATGTAAAAAGGGATGTGGTAAGACTGCCAGGCAATATCAGTAAAGAGGGTATGGGTAAGGACAGAGAAAACAAATCTAACACTCTTTGATGAAAAGCTGTGGGATGAGAGCTGATATTCTCCAGCCTAATGACTAGATTATGCAGCTATGGGAGGAAAGAAATGAGAAAAGAATTACAGTCAAAGCAATTGGAGAAAAGGATCATTTTGTCAGCTGCAGACTGGCAATTGATTAGAGGATGGATAACGTTTAGCAGGAAGACCAAGGAGGAGTTGTGCAGTGGTCAAAATGAGAGATGGCCACATCACCAACCCACTTAAATGCTGTAAGAAATGTTTCTAAGAAAGCACAGTTGAATGAAGAGATACTTTCTTCACTCAGAATAATTTGTTAAGGTGGCAATAAATCATGTGCTTCTATAAATGAACCACCAGAAGGGAAATGAATATAAAGCTACCTTTGTATGGGTGAAGATGGTGTTATTTCCAAAGGACTTCAGCATTCTGAATATATCAGTAAAGTGCCATACAACAGTGAAATAAAATAAATCAGGGTGAGTCTTACAGAAGTAAAGGAGAATGCAACACAATCTTAGTTGATAGAACCTGTATTATGAGAAGTTAGCATGGGATACCAAATAATCATAGTTGGAATCCCTTCCTGCCCAGTAGTTTCTTTTTATATATAGAACAGAGGCTCCTGCTTCTGGATCCAGGTTCATTGCTCTCCATCCAAACTGTCAGCAGAGTATTGCAATGATGCAGTCAGTTGTATGCTAGTTTTCAAGTGGGAAATTTTAAAAAGCACTTCTTCCTTTAAGGAACTCATTGTCTTATCAGGAAGCTCTAATAAATATTGTCAATAATGTCCAGGAATGTGTGTTATAGCTTTGTTGTAATAATGAGAAATTAGAAACAACCCAAAGAACTATCATCAGAGATATTAGCAAATAAAATAAAATTTTAAAATATATAATAAAATGGTATATACAGTTAAAGTGAATAAACTAAATTTGTCCAAATCTAAATTTATATCTAAATTTGTCCATAAATTTCATAAGGTGTCATGATAACTGGGGAAAAGCAAATATCAAAGTACAGGGATATTTTGGCATATAATTAATAATATATTATACATATATATGGATGCTATATAGTACATATTTTATAGGCAGTGTATGTGTGTATATAGTATATACATATATATAGTACATTATTTATGCCTTTATGGTAAAAATGAAAAGAACAAAAACTTTAATAGGATAAATAAAATAACAGAGACAGAGAGAGAGAGAGAGAGAGAGAGAGAGGAGTAGTGCAGTGGCTCACGCTGTAAATTGCCAAAACAATGTAGGGAAGTGTTTCAAGAGGGGAGGGAACTGGAGGTGTAGGTAACTAGGGAAGGCTTGGCAGAGAATGGGGATTGAAATGGAACATTAAGAATGGGAGGACTTGAAACAGAGAAAGGGGAGGTGGAAAAACAGCATGAGAAATATCTCAAATTTGTGAAATTAATGTTGATTCCAGTAAATGTTGAGTAGTAAAACAAACAAACAAACAAACAAATGAACAAACAAACAAACTGGGAGTTATGCCAAAAGAAATAACACTGGAGAAGATAGGTAGGTACACACGGCAAAGAGTCTCAAGGGGGACTATTGTGTCACTATTAACAGATTTTCTATAAATGCTTAAGTTCATTTGTCACAAACTCTCCTATCTCCCTTAAGTAAGGGGGTTTCTGATTGCACTGTAACTTTTCTTCTACACTTAGTTATGTAAAGGATTTCCCGTGTTTGTTTGTTTCAAGTTTGACCTAGTGATTTGAAAAATCTTTCTAACCCCAATAAATTATTCTTCCTCCTTTCATTTAGTATTTCCACAAAACTCAGATTAGCCATACATAAAATCCCTAACTTAAAACAAAACAAGGAGTGGCTGTTGGTGTGTACCACTCACATTCCACTTCAGGCCAGAGGCTCTCATTTCCCTACCTGTTGGACGACCCTCAGCTGAGCTGCCTTCATAAATTGTTCTTAGTCAAAGAAATTGATGAAATATTGTAAGCTCTTTGAGGGCAGAATTCATAAGCACTCTAAGCCTGCTTTATATGAAAGACAGCACAATGCTACTAACAAACACACAAGAATGAGATCATCTCTTTTCCCAATGGTTGAAATCCTTATCCTATTACTAGTGTAAAGTCAGTATCTATTAAAATAAGTTTTGTGGCCAGGCGTGGTGGCTCACGCCTGTAATCCCAGAACTTTGGGAGGCTGAGGTGGGTGGATCACGAGGTCAAGAGATTGAGACCATCCTGGCCAACATGGTGAAACCCCATCTCTATTAAAAATACAAAAATTAGCTGGGCATGGTGGCACACGCCTGTAGTCCCAGCTACTCGGGAGGCTGAGGTAAGACAGTTGCTTGAACCCGGGAGGTGCAGGTTGCAGCGAGCCGAGATCATGCCACTGAATGCACTCCAGCCTGGAGACAGAGTGAGATTCTGTCTCCAAAAAAAAAAAAAAAAAAAAAAAGTTTTGTGTTGTATATCAACAGTTTTTATTCATACCATTATTGCTTTTACTTAGGTTGATCAATAAATATATACATATTTTTGCTTTAAAGAACTGATAATTACTTTTAAAAATGGAAACCTTATGTGTGTTAGAGTGTCTAGAAAACGGGTTTCCATCCCTATTTATGTCCCAAACAGAAGGACACAAAATAGTCCAATCAAAGATAATACTCTGTGGCTCAGTAAGGCACAGTTTTGGTAGATAGTGGTGTTCAGGAGTGTTTTGCAAATGTTCCTGCAGGTAATCCTGATAGGGACTTCGTCTCCTGCCTTAGCGAGAGTTGAACTAAAGAAAATGGCCAAGGCATTAACTCTAATACTATAAAATACTAACAGTAGGACTCATGCGTGATATAAATCAGTTTTCTATTTCTTATCATGTAGCAATAAAAATCATGTTCACAATATTTAAAGGGTGTATACCTTTCTACCATTTTGTTCTTTGAATGTTAATTTATTACCTATTTTTCAAACAATATTTTAAAGAAATTTGAATAAAATTGCTATTAACTAACCTTCCAAGGAAATGTATACAAATATATAATGTGTTAAGAAAATTGATTTCAATATAATTTATCTTAATGTATTACTTTCAAGATATTCTCAAACAACTAAAAAGGGATCAAAATAACTCCATTATGAACCATAAAACTTATCAGCTACCTTGTGTAAATTCTGTATAGAGAAGGCATATTTCCTGTGCTGCTAATACTGCAGCACATCTTTGAATGAACACTGACTTCTGAATGCCTTATGTTCTTTTATGATGAATTATGCAGAAGTTCCATACTAGAACTATGTTAAGGTGCTAAAGTTCATGTCGATGAGTTGTTTATGACTCATACAGATGCAGTGGACAAATACCTTATTTTTTCCTTTACATGTAAGTCCAACATTTTGTGTAGAATAAATGTCATCAACGTACAAAAGGATAAATTGAAAAGCAACTGCTCAGATAAAATGATTTTCTTAAACGAAAAAAAAAAAGAAGTATCCATCTTTCAAGGACACAGCTGGGAAAAATTTCAGAGTAACTTGCTGTGCAAGTTACGCCTGCAAATCTCTTTAACAGTAATGGAATTTTGAACATAACAACTAGTACATTGATTTGAACATTTTCCCAATGTGTACATTTGATTTTTAGAAAAACATTTCTTTCAGAGCAGTGAGATTTCAGAAAACTTCATATATCTAGCAAATCTGACATTATATGTGGATGTTTCTTTTATAAAAGTGAAATTAGAAAAACATTCAAGTAGAGATCACAAAAGGTCCTTCTAATACTTGATGAAACTATAAGACATTAAGAAAAGAAGTACTGGAGGGGTCTCTTTACCATAAATTTATGTACTTAAAGTCTATATGTTTACCATGATAAATTTATTTATCAGAAGTTTTTTATTGTCATAGAAGATATTTATAGTAGAATTTGGAGAAAGTGTATGGAAAAAGAGTTTTGTAATTCTGTTGCTTGAAAGCTAGCAAACAAACATCAAAGTAGAGAAAGGACACAACGTAATGTCCCCAAGGTCCCCAGTATGGCAGAGACTGTTAATGATTTCCCAGTATCTGTTCTCCTATCCCATAATTTTATGTGGGCAGGTGACTTCCAGAATAAAGACTATATTTCCAGAATCTCTTGCAGCTAGATGTAGCAATCTAACTAAGTTACAGTCAGTGAAATATAAAGCAAAGTATTATGTGGCAGCTTATGAATAAACAGAATTTAAACCCCTTTCCTTTCTTACCTATTCCTTTCTCCATGCTAAGCTTGAAATAAAAGATGTTGCCATCTAGAATGATGATGGCATAGAGACCAGACAAATTCTAGAGAACAGTAATTTTAAACGCCCAGGTAGGAGTGATCTTTATTGCTTATGCAATATCATACATTATTTTATTGTGTTTGTGTTGCATTGCGTTATACTGTATTTCATCAGAAGTAAAATGCTTATATAGTAGACCATATTCGTGTGTTAAAACATAACATTTTGATATTGTGTTACCTTTTCATTCTATGCTTGAAATTTAAGTGCTTAAAGTGGATATATTTGAGGAAAATTGGGTAATGCAGAAGAGAACTAGGCAGGAATAAAGAACCATAGCAGAGGATCTCAAGCAATGTCTTTTATTCTCTGGTAAGATATTCTAAGCATGATAAAAAGGAAGATGAGAGAGCATTAATCATATATCCATACATTTATTATTTTAAAAAATTAATAAATGAAATCAGCCTCTGTTTGATTCCCTCTCTGTATAGTAAATGATAAACTGTTCCAAATAATAGCTGGACCTACATGTGCAATAGCATTATTTCTTATTATCATTTGGACTTTATTAGGTATGAGTACATCATATTTGAATTAGTTATTTTAAGTTCTGTGTCCCCACCCCCACTTTACCCCTTCTCATGCTCAGCAATATATATTAAAATTTATATTCATAATTTTTCTGTCTTTGGGACAAAATTAAGAAACATGCAGACAAGCTTTTAAACAGTCAAGCCAGAACACTGATACTTCTAGTACCAAAAAAGACTCATTAATGTGAGATCAACTACTTCAAGTGAAATTGGCAATATAATAGCCAATAAGATTCACCTTGGGTGAGATTACTGCTACATTGAACATCCCAGTCATATTTAGTAATATTTGTCTTTAAGTTTAATGGATTACATACTTAAACCTCTGACTCAAATAAAACCAAACTAAATATTGAGTCATCAGGAACATAAATAGATAAAACATTTTACTGGAAATAGAATACAGTGTATGAATAAATTTGTCTGTGTTTTATAAAGAAACACATAAAATTAAGAGTATCTTTAGGCCTAGATAATGGTCAAAGTATTTCTCCACAAGGTGTCTTTTACTAGTGGTCATAAACATGAAAATGTTTTCTGGAAAGGATAGCCTAAATGGGGGTGGGGAATGCTAGTCATGTTTCTCATTGAGTTTATAATTACCATCAACTAATATTTTTTGAGTCCCTCTGTGCATGGCAGTATGGTAATAATGATCAGCATCACTGAGTGCCATCTAGATGTCCAATGCTAAATTAAGTTTTGCTGATTAATGTTCATTGCTTTATTTGTGCCCTGGCTCATCTGTTCTTACAAGCTGCTCTGTTGTGCTCCTACCAACAAATTATGTGACAGTACCAACCTGGTGCTAATTTACGGAACTCTGTGCTACCACCAAAACATTTCCCAGCTTATATATATCCCTGTCCATTATTGTTTTTCTACCTCCCTTTGTCTCTTAGTGAGCACTGCCACGTCAATAATATATCCGGAGTAATTAAAAAACAAATAAAGCAACGTAACTTTACACTTTTCCATCTGTTGGTCTGTGGTACTTTACATCCTCTGCACACCCTGGCGAAATCTATAAAACTTCCATTTGATTATTAAGTTCAGTCAGCCTAGGATAAAGTAACCCACTCTACTAAAACTCAGAGGAATCTTTTCAAACATACATTTGAATGTCAATCATTAAAGATTTTTCAATAGATCACAAAGATTATAATCAAATGCCTCCTTTAGTATCTCAATCATCTCTCACTCTCCAGCCTCATCTCCAATCACTTTATTCTTGCATTATATACTAAGTCATAAAAAACTTGAAGTCCCTAGAATCTACAATACTATGTTTCTTCTCAACTGCATTAATCATTAATCATGTGCAGTAGCCCATCCCTTCAGTATCTGGCTCAACTTCTATTAAGCTTTGAAATTTTAGCCTTTATCACTCCTCGTATTTTAGTGCCTATTCCAGTTTTTTTTAAATGCTCCATCTCATGTTTCTGTATCATCTACTATCTATATACCTAACATTTATCACACTCTAAATTATCCATTTACTCGTCTATTTCTGTGACCAGGTTACATGCTTCTTGAAACAAAAATTAAAGTATTGGGACTCCTCAATTGCAAGCTCCTTAAGTACATGAGCCATGTTTCTTTATTTCTCTAAACCAAGAACTTAATATTTGTCTTTCGTAATGTAGGTGTTCAATTAAAATATTTGAATGTTAAATAAGTTAAAGCATGAACAAATACGCGTCTTCAAGCCAAACTCTTATCTTTAGTCCTTTTCTTATAGTCTTCTAATATCATTGCAAATGTTAATTTCTTCTCCAAGTTGTCATTGTGGTATCTAAGTCTAGGCTTATAGTAAATTTCATTAGTTAAAACATTCCTTTACTTAATATTAATATTTTATAAGGCCATAAACAGCCAATATTATTTTATAAAGCCATAAACAGCCAATATTCATCAACTTTCACTTCTGATAAACTTCGTCTCCTGAGCTCTGACAACCCAAGTGGAGATCAATGAATCACTTCACTGTTGTGAAAAGTCAAATGATATTTTTATTAAACCATCTTGCCTATTTCACTCCTTCTACTGTGCAGGAGATCCAATTATATAAAACGTCTCTGTCTGTCCTAAATTTTCAGCTTTGGGAAATAACCCGATCAATATTTCTTAAAATCATAGAGTTGATTCAAAAATAAAATAATTTATTTTCTGTCACACAAAAAACTATTCGATACTGTTCAAATTGGATTAAAAAGACTAAAAAGTTAGTAATATAATCTTAATATCTATGCTGAGATAATTTGAAAGAAAACTAATATTTTGACATTAACCTCATAAATAGGTTACATATTTAATATGGTATTTACATATGTAGGCTATATATTTAATATGATGTCCGTATGTAAGAATAAATACAGTTCATATAATATCACAGGTTACAATATCAAGCAGTTACTACATGATCTTCTTTTACAAATCCCATTGTACCATGCAGTAAAACTAGCATAACTGACAATGTCAAATAAAATTTAATTATATGTGTATTCAATATGCAATGTCTTCAAACATTGGGAGAGCCAATGATCATGTATATATGTAGATAAGGATCTGGAGCAATCTGGATTCAATAATCAGAATTAATCATTGCCTAATTTGGTCCAAGACCATCTAAGAATAAACTTGAGTTAGAAGAAAGTGGAGAAAAGAAGTTTGTGAGAAAAAGACATGATGATGACATTATTCGAGCCCTTGCGTTCAGTCATGTCTAAAGGTCACCCTGAACTTTCCAGACATATAGACCATTAAATCTCTTTTTATGCTGTGGTGTAATTAAAAAAAAAAATTGGTCTTTGTCCTAGACTCCTGTCACAAGAGATTCAAACACCCTTAGAATTTTCTGAGCCATAGGCATGTCTTTTGTTATTCATCATGAGCCCCTTTCAACCATACTTGAGTTTATGCTAACAAGGTGTGTCATGGTGGCCTCTTAGAGAGTGTCAAGGGAGGGGCTTGCCAAGTGATTAGAGGTTTGGAACTTTCAGCCCCATCTCCCAACTTCCTGGAGAAGAGGGAAGTTGCTACATGTTGAGTTTAATCAAGTGGCCATGATTTAATCAGTCATATCTGATATGGTTCTGATTTGTGTCACCACCCAAATCTCATGTGAAATTATAATCCCTGGTGTTGGAGGAGGGACCTGGTGAGGGGTGATTGGATCATGGGGGTGGATTCCCCTCTTGCTGTTTTCATGATAGTGAGTTCTCAGGAGATCTGGCTGTTTAAAAGTGTGTAGCACCTCCCCCTTCTCTCACTTCCTCCTGCTCCAGCCCTGTAAAATATGCCTGCTTCCCCTTCACCTTCCACCATGATTGAGTTTCCTGAGGCTTACCCAGCCATGCTTCCTGTACAGCCCATGGAATAGTGAACCAATTAAACTTTTTTCTTTATTAATTGCCAAATCTTTATAGTAGTGCAAGAATGGACTACTAATACAGTGTCCAAGTAATGAAGTGTCTCAGTAAAAACTTGAACAATGAGGTTGGGGAGGTTTCAGGTTGTTGAACACAACAGTTTGCTGACAGGGTGGCATGTCTGGAGAGGGCAGGAAGCTCTGGGCTACCCACCCACTCCCACATACCATTTTAAAGCATCTTTTCCATTTGGCTATTCCTGGGTTGTATTCTTTATAATAAAAATATAATGGTAGTGCTTTCCTGAGTTCTGTAAATTGTTCTAACACATTTTCCAACCTGGAGGGGGAGGAGAGGAAAGGCTTGAGGGAACCCCCACATTTTGGGTCAGCCAGGTCAAGTATGGGTAACTTGAGGATACCATAACTTTGGCTGACAATGGAATTGGGGATGGTCTTGTGCAACTGACTCCTAATTTGTGGGACTGCACTAACTCTAGATAATATATCAGAATTGAGTTAAATTGTAGGACGTCCAGTTGGTGCCAGAGAGTTTTTGTAAAAAACATCAAATATGGTTAAGTTATTAGAACTGGGTTTCTGTAACTTGCAACTGAAAAGAATCTGACTAATTTACTGTTAATTTAAATCAATACGTTTTACCTTCTAAGGATATTTCTATTTCATTTTTCTATAAGCCAAGATCCTTTTGAGTTGCACGCTGCTTTTAAAAAAATGTCAATACTCTATGGTGGTATTTTTTTGTTTGTTTGTTTTTTTGTTAAAATGTTAGTTTCTTTTTAAAAAAATTGAGACAGTCATGACAATGTTAATGTTTGTTTTATTGAAGAAATTTGAAATAATCAGTAATGGCTTTTATTATTATTGTTTTCTTTTTGTTTTTACATTCTCACAAAACTTGTTTGGAGAATTTGATTAGCACTATTTTGTGATCAAATTAAATAAATGTTGAAACTGGCAAATCAAACAAAGTGCAGACCCATGGTTGCTTGGTTCTAATAACCAGTGATCTGTAGGTAAAGCATACGAAAATTCATAAAATAACTAGGGTACATTATAGAAGACAAGTAAAAAGCTACTCAAATACCTTTCTAGGCTTACGGTGAGTTCCATATGAGATAGTGATTTAAAAATCTGTGAATCCTTAGTGTTAGAGTGTTAGAGTAGGTAGCTAGTTAGACATGATCAGAGCAGGAGAGGGCCCCCCACCAGGACTGTCAGGCAACCATCAGGTGATGGTCAGGTGGTTGTTTCACTGTCTAAAAGAATAATTGGTTGCACCTGGTGTCAGGGAATGGCAGTCTCCCAATAGATAGAAACACCTGAAGCTGGTGATCAGCAGCTTTCCAGTAAGATTTCAGGACCTGGGCAAGTGGGCTCAAGTGTGCACATTAAGAGACAAAATGGCCACATTTAACTGGTATATGACTTCTAGAAACATTAGACTGGCAAGGGAAGAACACCTCAAGTGAGCACGCATACATCTCCAGTAAACACACGACACGTGCACCCCTCCCAAGGGCTGGCAGGCCACTGCGTATGCAGACAGCCCACCTCAAAGGAAGAGTCCAGGGAGAAGAAAATCAGACCCTGCAAGAACGCCAACCTATAAAACCCCAAGTCAAAGGTCAAGCCACACACTTGAATCTCTCAGGTTGCCCACTTGACCCTCTTCCAAGTTTACTTTACTTTCCTTCCTGCTCTAAAACTTGTCTCAGTCTCTCACTCTGCCTTTTGCCCCTCCCTTGAATTCTTTCTTCTCTGGCAGCAAGAATTGAGGTTGCTGCAGACGCATACGAGTTCGCGGCCACTAACAATAGGAGTCATATCAGAACAGGTGTCATAATTTTCTCTACCCTTACTGCACGCTTTGTACTCACCTGTTCTAGTTCCTATATTGTCTGCTCATGTTGTTCCTAGTCATTCTTAGCTAGCACCAGATCACCTCCCATGAAGAGGCATAGAGCTGTACTTGAGAAGGTAGACTAGAAGTAGACCGACTTCTTATGTGATGCCAACAGGTACAAAGGTTGTGTACAGTGTGTGTGTATGTCAGTGTTTAACCCATTGGCTATTATGACAGGAGAAACTGCAACTGTCTTTCACTAAATTTATATGTACAAATGTCACATATCAGGGTTCTGGTGTCTGCCTATTTCTTCTTGCAATCACATTTTTTTTCCTGTTTCTACGTTTACACTCTCTCCACATCATTTTCTGATACTTATTTTCTTTTACCTTTCTTTCCCCTTCCTCTTTCTTCTTTTTGCCTCTTCCAGCGTTCCTTTATAATGTCCTTTCTTTCTTGCTTCATCAAAGCCAGGACTGTCTTTCCGCTTTTCTAATAATGCCATAGCATTTGAAAAAAATATATATTTAATGTATTTGGATATTAGATACGAACCATACATCTGCTGTCTACAGCACAGCTCCCAATATCCCTGGGAGCACAGTTGTTTTTCTTTTTTTAACAAATTCTGTCATGTTAAAAGGAAAAACGATATCATCAATCATAGAAAGCAGATCTGCCTACCTTTGCAGCTGCATGACAAAAATATTTCTGTGAACATTTTCTATTTGTACCTACTGAGTAAGGAAAAAATTCACCATGGCAAACCTGGGAAGCCTCCTTAGTATTTTTTAAGGTGCTTTGTTTTCCAGCCTCTGCTTTTGTACTCTTTTCCTTTATTTTCTTAATTGGCCAATGTTTTTTGGATTGTCATTTATATTCAGCATCTGAATGATTAAATTCATCTGAAAACTATTTGTGTTACCTTCACTCTATTTATGTGTTGAAACTTTTGTATTTACTTGCAGAAAAAAAAATCCATGATTTTTTTCTTTCCACGAGTGGGGCAATCTGGACATTAATGTTTGCATTTGGGCAATAACTTTAGGATGACTTACTAGACAATGAGACAGGAGGCATCAGAATGGCTATTTTTGTTTTCAGATAATTTGTCTTCTTTCTTCCTGGGTAACAATGCAAAAGTTTAATCCTTTCATATAGTCAGAATCCAAATCCCACATGCTGACCTGCTGATGGACTTTGGAAAAGCTTAAGTCAACTTAGTGTGTGTGTGTGTGTGTGTGTGTGTGTGCACGCACACATATGAGACATAAGGAGAAGGGAGAGAAGAAAAGAGAAGGGAGGAGAGATGTTAAAGTTCTTCCTGGGCTGCATATCTTATATTTGACTGCCTAGATCTACACCACACACCCCTGATCCTTCTCTACCTGTTTCTGCCCTGGGAGGCTTCTGATTAAGTTAGACAAGTGCAGAACTCTTTCAGCAGATCAGAAAAAGGAAAGAAAAAGGTCAGAATCTCATATCCCAGCAGGGTTGCATCATGCTGGCTAGGCCTCATCTTTGAAAGTGGCTCTCTCTACACTATTCTCTCTTTCTTATCTTGGAAATCATTATCTCCTTTTGCATCTTCAGGTTGAGTATTGGTGGTAGCTGCCCTGTTACCAACCATGGGGTAGTGCACTGTTTCTTTTCCTATACACTATCCACTTCTTTGTTAAACATCTCTTTGTTAAATTCTATTTAAATTATCTTAAAGTTGAGTGTTTTGTGCTAGGGCCCTTTTTGATTCATTTCATCTAAAATCATTTCTAAGAAAAATTACCATAGGTATTAGTCCTTACGAAGGCTCTCATACTACTATTGTCAGAAGAGACATTTACCTAATGACATCCTCTAGTGATAGTTCTGATATTTATAAAGGTCATTTGAGATGATCTTTACAAACATAAAATAAAAGCAAACAGAATTTAACATGGGCTTAGTCATAAGCATATGCCTGGATAATTGCAAGTGTTGGTTGTCGAGTTTTTAAAAGATCCTTTAAGAAATATATTAACTGACTGTCTGGTGAAGACCATGCAAAGCAAATGGGTACTTTGGGTTTGCATTAAAATTTGCATCATAGACAAATGTGAGAGTGCTGCAGCGTCTCAAAGAACCTAAATGGATGTGAAGACGTGCTCTGAGAAACACATGTTAAATGACTCAACACATGGGTGTATTGATGACAAGTCTCTGATGCCAAAGATGTATATGAGAATTCTGAATAACCTTTCCATGAAATAGGAACATAGAAATAAAATTCTATTTCTCAACAAATATATTTTATAAAACATACTTATTTAAACATGTCATTAAGATGATAAATATTGTAAGATGACATCTAATAATACCAAGGATATCCTTAAGAGTTTTACTCTTCAATCCTGAAAACAAATGAAAACTGTTTGCCGTTGAGAAAAATGAAGCTCAACCTACAACTGGTTTGCTTCATGTTCAGACATAGGTAGTTCCTTTCCTCACTACACATAGTTTCTCAATGAATGTTAGACCCCTTGACTAGATTTTTATCTTAGGTTCTTTTCTATCACCTCCACCACCATTGCCCCTACCCAGTTTTTGCCTCACCTCTCGGGTTTCTTCCCAGCTGAATGACTCACTGTACATTAGGACCTCCAATTTTGACCTACATTCTTTCTTTTCCAGTTTCAAGATTTCTGGGTAATTACTTTTCAAAATGTTCTTTTATGCTTGTTTTAGTTGATATTAAATTCCTCTCTTATTTAAATTCTAAATCTAATGCCTATATTATATGTAATTTTGTAATGAGGCTTCCAAGAAAGAAAGTTATGAATGTTTGCTTTTCATGAACCAAGTTCTCACTAAGCTTGTCAAATTATAACATACGGTAAATGGTGTCACATATGAAATTACATTTGTTCCCTGAGTATGCACACTGATAGCATGGAGGACCCTAGCTTAGGAAACTAGTCAATAAAAAAAAATGCTCTAATTCTTTTTATCTTAGTGCCAGAGCAACATCAGACATCCAAGATAGTAAATATTCTGTACCATGGCACTTGATATATTTCTTACTCATTTTAATAAAAATGCCCCACTAAAGAATCTAGCTGTTCTTACCATGAGAAAGGGAAATAATAAAATATTTTCTTTGTTGTATTTTTGTATGTATTATAAATACATTTAAAGAACACAATGATTGAATATTCACTATATTTACCATAACCCCTTATTCTGTATCTCAAAGTGTTCTTCATTGAATCATAGAATATTTCCAATATGACAAGGAACAAGAGGAAGAATATTTGTATTTTCAGTCCTGCTGCTTGTACAATTCCACTTTGTTCCCAAATTTCCAATTGCAAGCTTAAAGACAGATGAATAAATGACAAATTTTAGAAAGCTGGAGGGATGACCTTAGAAAATTAAGTAGCAGAGAACACACCATTCACATTTCAGCAAATGCTATCTGGATGTCAAAATAAACTCATTCATGATGAAAACACATCTCAAAAGATGTGGAGTTGGTGAGAAAATTACTACACATCTTCTGAAAGTAAAAATGCATGATCAAAGGTTGAACTTTTGATATTAAACAGAAAGATATGGGATACAAAAAAGTCTTAAGATGAGTTCAATAAACTTCTCAGACTATAGCTTTAAAAATTGTTAAGATTTATATCTAACGCAGAATGACAAAGAGTAATTCATGGAAAAATTTTACATCACCTAAAAGGAGAAGAGTTGACCATACACGTGATCATTACTAAACAGATAATATCAGAAGAGGTATATACTCTTAAAACAAAGGAATCTAATACCATACACAAAGCACCCAAATAGCAACAATAACAACAAAAATACTGATATAAATTGTATACCCAAATTCTCCCAACTAAACAAACAAACAAAAACTATTTAGGGATAGGCAAATGTTAGCACTTGAAAATAAAACAAAAGGAATGGTAGAATTCACAACACATTTACTTTAATCCCAAGGAAATTCATGAACCTCTGCATATGAAAATATTCTGGGCTTAGTGATTGTCATGTTACTACCACATATTTCTTCCTCTCTATGCACAGTCACACAACACAAATACACAAAACTTGTCTATAGTTTGCTGTAGAGATTTCTCTGTCAGCATTTTTAAAATTTATTTATACCACAAAATGTTCCAAGATACAGATATATCCCGGGTTGTATCAATTTAGAGCAAGTAATCTTTTTCTTTTTAGATTGGCAATTTCTAACAAAATTGATTTGTACTTCATTAAAGCATTTAATAATGTAATGATAAGTAGGAAAAAATGGGTTATGCTGTGAAAGTAAAGATAACTGAAGAATAATTATCACGCTAATTATTTTTATAAAAATGAAACTCATATAACTATTTCTTCTAGGGTTGCAATACAGATGAAGTAAGAAAATGAGTAAAAAGTGTTTAGAAAAGCATCTGCACTTAGTATTACTAATTACTAAGTAATTAGTAATTAGTAACAAATTGGGGATACATTTGATATCAGTTTTTTGTTGTTGTTCTTGCCATTGTTTGTTTTGTATATGGTATTGAATTCTTTTGTTTCAAAAGTATACACCTGTTCTGACATTTTCTGTTTACTAATGATAAGGAGTATTGTGCAAATCTGTTCCTTGTAGGTGGCATATTTTTTCCCATGAATTTCTCTTGTTATTCTGCATTAGATATGAATCATAAGCACAGTTGAAGCTATACTCTGAAAAGCTTATTGAACTTATCTAAAGACACTGTTGATATCTTGTAGCTTTCAACTTAATATCAAAAGTTATTATTATCTCATATTTACAGCATGTCTTGAGCTGCCTTCTTTGATGTACACTGTTTGAATACTTTTATAATTAATTCATTTATCCACCAGACAACATTGAATACTTACAGATGACTAGTTGCTATATTAAGAACTAGTAAAGTTCCTTACAGTTTAGAAAGATAAAAGAACATATCAATAAAGACAAAAACATGTGGTAAACACCTGAGAGAGGCAAATACAGGCCACCATAAAAGTGCATAAAGGAAACCCCCCTAAATGGGATTAGGATGAGGGCAGCTGTGGAAAGACTGAGGAAACCAGGCAGGGAAAGTTTTTCAGATGATGTGAAACTGAGAAATGCGTGATGTGACTAACACAATCTCTCTTCCAGTCTTCTCCATCCTATTTGCATCTAGGGCCCTGACATTATTAGACTCAGATAAGTGAGCGTTCAGCTGAAGTAGATACAGTCAGAGTTCCTGCACAAACACAGATACCCATCAGAAACCTGGGTAGAGAAATAAATTGACTAGAAAGGAGACATAAGGACAATTTAGGCTATTTCGCCTGCTTCGTTTCTTTTGGCAATGCTGTCTGCTTATTTTTTTTTTAAATGGATGTCTAGACATAAATAAGATAAAGTTGATTATAAGAAGAATATAAATGAACTTCTCAATACTTTCATTTTAAAAGCTAACAATATTGAGGCCTATTAAGAGCAGTATGATGAGAGAAAGGCTTTGATGTCTGGAAGAGGAATGTTCCTGAGAGTTTGATAGAGAAAAAAATCTACATAATCTTCTTTTTCTACTAATGGAGATTATGGTTCAACAGGGGGAAAAGTTCTCAATTTATAAAACAATTTCACACACATGCATTTTTAAAAACATATTGAAAGGATGTTTTATATTATAATAAAATGTTAAAAATGAACCATATTTCTTTGCATTAAATGCCATAGCAGCTTATAGAGGAAACTCCTTTATATCAAAAAGTTTTACTGTATCAATTAGTACGCCTCCTCATATGAGGCCCACTCTAGTTCTCCTTTCCATACAGTGTCATCCTACAGCACATAATTCATTCAGAAACTGCTCCTCATTGTCAAAATGAGTAATATTAAAAAGTAAATCAGTATAAACCTGATTATGCTAGCAGTTTTGATGATCTCATTGAGACTGTGGTTATTTATGAAACTAATGAGATTCTAAATGTTCATAAATTTCCAAATTTTTCATTCTATTTTAAACACTGAAACAGCCTGCATATTACATTTATAGTCTTTACTGTATTTCTGCTGTCATACCCATTTAGTATCCTCTTTATAAGGCACCAGAACATCATAGAAGAATAAAGGTTTTACCATTCTTGAAGCAGCTCAGCCAAGATGGGTTGATTCTCTGCCTCTCATTCTTTTTCTCCCATTGATGTTGCCTTCACTTTCTCCTGTATCCTAATAATCTCTCATCATGTACTACAAGTATCTTATTTACTCTTTCCTTCTAATTGGAGGGCAGACAATTTATTTATATTAATATACAAACATACAAGGAAGTGTTAAGTAGAAAATTGTTTGTCACATAATATGAAGATCTGTGTTTAAGTAATGTGTTAACTATTCATAGGTGATCATAAAACAAATTAATTTCTAATTTTAAGAAATTATTTAATTTCCATCTCGTAAGATGGAAGCTTCATAGATGAAGAATGCATGAGTAAAAGAAAATATTGAAAACAGGATACATAATTCTCCAAAATGTAAATGAAATTGCTTGGTGTTGGTGAATTGGTAAACAAGCAATTTAAGAGTCAAGCGAGTACAGGATGTTATCTGTAGTATTTCTGGTAGTCAATGTTAATATTTTTGAAATATTATTACATATTTTTCTTATATTTCCAGATCTGCTTTGGTCTTCTCTTCATCCTGTTTTACCTTCTGAAATCAGGCAGAAGTCAGGTTATTCAGTATCCTGACAACAGGGAAAATGTAAATTCAAAAATTAGAGGAAAACGAACTCTTTCCTAGCTTTTTGATTTTAAAAGCCTCAGCCCTCAGAGAAAAAACTTGGACTTAACAAAAGATTTGAAAAGACATGATGGAGGTGGGGAGATAAGACACATCTATCTCTGACAACATGAAGAAAAATCAATGAGTAGAAGAGAAATTGGAAGGGCAGCTTGGGGAGAGTTACCCCCTGAGTCACGGGAAGACAATGTGAGCTCTAGATGGTTCAGAGGGATTCCTGAGAAATTTTTCCTCAGAAGATCTTAGGACTGGGATAAGACTCTAAAGCAGACATGAGACATTAAGTGTAGAGAAAGAGACTTTTATTCAGGAGCTGCAGGATGGAGTCACAGGGATGAAAGATATGAGGAAAATACTGACAATGAAAGAGAAAGAGAAAAAGAAAAGGAGGAGGGCAGGCACATATGAAATGATGGCACAAAATACCATTTTGTTGAATTTAGAAAAATGCAGTTATATGGTACACTTGTTTTTGTGCTTAGAATATCGATGTTACAATACAAATTCTCCATATTTTTCCTTCTAAAGCCTTTGTTTTCAATGAGTAGGTGGAGAAAAACACACAGGGCTTTTCCAAATATACATCCATCAGTTCTATTTATGTAATAAGATAACAGTGCTAATGATCAACAGGTATGTTTCTAGAAATCAGAAATGAGCAAGAAGGAATCTTGCATAGCTGCAATGCTTGTTAAAAGCCCAAGCAATTTTTACCTCAGTGGCTTTTGATGTTATTACTGGATTGCCATAAAATAATTGTTCATAATGAGGTTCTAGTTGCTCTTTGGGGAAATTTTAAATTGAAGTTGTTAAAATTAAAAATAAAAAACTCCATCCTTTTAAAAAGTACTAGTAAACATTAAACGTTTTTATTATGTTGGATAATGGTATTTTTCTGACTATGTATCTTCTTTTATTTCCTGGTTGACCATAAGTGTTGTTGATCTTTTCATTGTATTGGAGTGGGGAAGGCTAAAGTTGGGGGTAGGCTTTCATTCTGACACAAAAAATAAATGGACCATGGAGAAAACAAGAAAAAAAACATAGGCAAAAGAGAAATTAACAAGGAAGGAATCTCAGAAAGAAAATATTCAACACGATTCAGAAGTAAGATGTAACTTCATAATTTCATTCAACAGCTCAAGCCATCCTGCCACCTCAGCCTCCTGAGTAGCTGGGACTACAGGCATGCACCACTATGCCTGAATAATTTTTAATTTTTTGTAGAGATGGGGTATCGCAATGTTGCATAGGCTGGTCTTGAACTCTTGGTCTCAAGTGATTTTCCCACCTTCACCTCCCAAAGTGTTGGGATTACCGGCGTGAGCCACCACACCCAGCCCACGTAACACTCTTTATATAAAGTTACATCTTACTTCTGAATCGTGTTGACTGTTTTCTTTCTGAGACTCCTTCCTTGTTAATCTCTCTTTTGCCTGTTTTTTTTATTTTCTCCATGATCCATTTATTTGTTGTGTCAGAATCAAAGTCTACCCCCAACTTTAGCCTTCCCCCTTCCAACACAATGAAAAGTTCAACAACACTTATGGTCAACTAGGAAATAAAAGAAGACACACAGTCAGGAAAATACCATTATCCAACAAAATAAAAATGTTGAATGATTACTAGTACTTTTTAAAAGCATGGAGATTTTTTATTTTTAACAACTTCAATTTAAAATTTCCCCAAAGAGCAACTAGAACCTCATTATGAACAATTATTTTATGGCAATCCAGTAATAACATCAAAAGCCACTGAGGTAGAAATTGCTTGGGCTTTTAACAATCAGCCAAAGCCTTAGAGACACCCTTGACTCTTTCCTTTCTCTGCATTCTGCCTCCAAACTTCCAGAAAAGTCTCCTGGCTATAATTTTAAATTAAATGCAATTTCTTCTCACCAACGCCACACTAGCACATAATAAAAACCACCATTAACTCTTCCCTATAGTATTACAATAACATCTTGAACCCTCACCAACAAAGCAACCATAATTTCCATTTAAATTCATAAGGCAGAGCATGCCATTCTTCCGCTGCCCTGCCAATGCTTTGCCATTGCACTCAGAGTAAAAGTTGAGCCCTTGAGCTGGCCTACTTGTCCCCATGCAACCAGGTCCTGTTACCCCACCAATTTCATCCACTCTTCTCTCCTCCTGACTTCCTTTTGATCCTGGCCTCCATCTTCTTCACCCATTCCAGACCCCTTGCTCCTTAAGCATGGCAAGCATACTCCTGCCTTGGGGCCCTTGCTCTGATCTTATACTTAACTCATAGTGCTCATCCCCCAATAGCCTCATGGCTGCTCCCTCCCCACCTTCATTCTGTCCAAACATCGTCTTCTCATTAAGACCTTACCCCGAGTATTTCATTTACTTATTTATTTATTTATTTATTATTTATCTTTATATTTTTTTATTTTTTGTGGGTACATGGCAGATGTATATGTTTATGGGTTATATGAGATATTTTGATACAGATACACAATGTGTAATAATTACTTCAGAGTAAATGCGATCTCCTTCACCTCAAGCATTTATCCATAGTGTTACAAAGAATCCAAGTATACTCTTGATTATTTAAAAATGTACAATTAAATTTATTATTGAATTTAGTTACCCCATTGTGCTATCAAATATTCAATCTTATTCATTCTTTGTAACTATTTATTTGTACCCATTAGTCATTCCTTGTCCCATCCCCTAAATCCCCCACTACCTTTCCTAGCCTCTGGTAACCATCATTGTACTCTCCATGAGTTCCATTACTCCAGTTTAAGTAGCAGTTGCCCTACCACTAGGCATGTCTCAGATCCCTTCCTTGTGTTTTCTTCATAGTACTAATCACCTTTAAACATGACTAGAATGTCTACTCATCTTGCTATTATTGTTGTTTGTCTTCCCCCTCTGGAGTATATGCTCTATGAGGCTAGGGATTTTGTCTCTTTTGTTATTTGTATACACCATTGAACAGAAGTACCTAAAGTAGAACTTGCCTAATAATTATTTTACAATTTAATATGGATGAAATCTTAACTACTTAAATATATATTTATTTAAATATCTTTTAAAATTTTCTCTTATGACTTACAATGTCTCTTTTCTTCCTAAATCTATACCTGAGATGTTTTAATAAATACTTTAGAATCTCTTTTGAGGTGATTTTAACCTTTGAGTTTAAATTGTTTTCACTTGAAAGCTGCCTCTTTGCGCTATTCAGTGTATGAATTCCTGTATCTGGATTTGTGAGGACAGGTTTGTAGAATATTCTACCCAATACAAGGGAGGTAGTGAATTCTTTTTTTTACTGGGATCAATAACTGTCTGAATTGGATAGATTAAATTAGCCCCAGGCTGGTTAGGAGGCAGGAGGATAGATGGACAGCTTCTGTGAGTCTCTTGTAGTTCTATACAAAGTGTTTGTTAAAGTTTCAATGGGAAAAAAGGCACTAAAATGCAAAGGTAAACATTATGCTTTAAAGCGATAGAGACAAATGTCCTTATGCAGCACAAACCTTTTCAGAGATGGTATAGATCATCTGCCTTATGTTTTTCTGTTGCCTGTGAAAAGGATGTGTGGAGAAAGGTGCTACTTGATATTCACTTCCAATATCATGTTGGCTGAAAAGCTGTGCTTTTTTGTAAATCCAACTAAATACACTGACATTTTCAGAGTGCATCTGATACATTTCAATAATTAATTCTTAAGTCAAGAAAGAGTCAAGAAATGAGATGAAGAAGCACAGTAGGCTGAAAATTGCCAGTAGGAAGGAAAAAAAAATCAGCAATAGATAGAACCTTTTCAAGCTGAAAGAGGTCAGTGGGAAACCACTGGGAACAGGGATGCAGCTTCAGGGGCTTTTATTATTGTTATTTACATAAACCACCCAGAGAGTAGTGTGAGATGCTCAGTCCATAAATTGCAGAAATCGGTAGACTCAGAAAAAGGAAAATGTGATCACCTAGTAGAAAGAACTAAATCAGTGAAGTACTTATATAACATGCAGTCAAAGAGGAAAAATCTCAGTTGAAATATATTCCCTTTGAAAGAAAACAGATTGTAGAATGACGGTGCTGGATAGGAATTCGAGAAGTGCTCCAGCAAGCTCCACTGGAAAGTTTTATTTGTGTCCTAGAGATGGCTTTTGTCTTTGGATATGAAGAATGTCACAGGATTGCCACCTGAAATGCTAAGATCATATTAATAGTTAAAAATATTTTAATGTGGAAAAGATAAATTTTAGATAGATTTCAGGCATGCTGTAATTGCCAACATAGCTTCAAAGTATCTGTTTTGCAAAATTATATTTCATGATTTCTCCAATTTTTTTAATTTTTGCTCTGAAATAACTACTCTATCAAATAATATTAATTAAAACAGCAATTTATACCTCATTTATAATTTAAGCCTCTGATAGTTAAATTTTAAAATACCAATCTAACTTAATTTATTATCTTAAGGGTCCATCATGTACTTGCGGATAATAGAGAGACATAATGGAGAGACAGACACAACCAGATCATGACAGTGAGTGACCTATTTAGAATATGTCTTTATAGTGGCTTTCCCACACAAGGTCTCAGGGAAGGTTAACATAGGTAGAAAGACATGTATGTATAACATCTATAACATGCTTCATCAGGTGAATTCACCCACTGAATGTAACAGAATACCTCTCAGGCCAATGCCTGCAACCTGGCATAGGAACCACTAGATGACTGCCACAGTGCTATTTCTGACCAATGTCTAAGCCTCTAAAGAGGAAAATAAAATAACAATATACTTATTTTAAAACTCCTGAAAAAGTCAGTGTGTGCTTTTGTATTCTATAATGTGACCATAAGCGTTAGGTACTGCTGGAAAACGTCCTTTATTTTCAAATCTAGCTGCTACAGCAGTGGTAAACATGTAATAAGCAGTCAAGTTACTGGACAAACAAGTAACTTATATCCGTCTAGAAGTTCTAAAGAAGTAAAAGCTATAAAAAAAGAGTGTTTGGGGTTTAGGAATTCACTGCATGATTCCTTATAATTCAACTGATTTATGAAATGTAGTTTCCAATAGTCTCTGTGAAGTATAGAATGATTTTTTAAGGAAAATAAATAAGTTCCAATTTTATTTTTTAAGTGAATGAAAGAGGAGAATACAAAATTAAATGGGTGGAGTAACAAGTATATTTGATTTTTAAATCTCAGTTTGAATAATAAAGGTGGTAGTGGAACAGATATGGAATTTTCCATATGTGAGACAACTATTTTTTCTGAGACAGAGTCTTGCCTGTCGCCCAGGCTGGAGTGCAATGGCACGATCTCGGCTCACTGCAACCTCTGCCTCCCGGGTTCAAGTGATTCTCCTGCCTCTGCCTCTTGAGTAGCTGGGATTGCAGGCATGCACCACCATGCCCAGCTAATTTTTGTATTTTTAGTAGAGACGGGGTTTCACCATGTTGGCTAGGATTGTCTCGAACTCCTGACCTTGTGATCCCCCCGCCCCGGCCTTCCAAAGTGCTGGGAATAGAGACGTGAGCCACCACGCCAGGCTGAGACAACTTTTTATTTGGCAACTAAATAACATGTCATTGTATTTTTTTTTTCTCTTGAGGGGAAATAAATCATCAAAGACAGGAGTGAGTGACTTTGCACTAATGCATTTTCCAATTATTTGGAGAAGTTTCCAAAATATAAACAGGGCAGCGATTGGCTGAAATTAGATCTCCTTATACTGAAATAGAAGATGATATCTAAACATCTCAGATGCTTAGCTAAAATGGTTCAAAAATTTTAACCTCTTCTTTGCCTGGAGTTCTATTAATTCCTTCAGACCTCAACAAAGCTCATTGTGTGATTCAATTTAATTATGTTAACTGCTATGTATCTCAGTAAATTGATGCTTCAGTGGCACTTGGAAACATAAAAGTGCCTGTTCATTTGGAGAAAGAAAGAGAATTGTTGTCCTGAACTAGGATTACCTAGGCTTATTTGGACTATTCTGGATAAAGCTGCTAGATCAGGTGAGTATAGAACCAAGATCTAAATGAAGAGTATATGACTTAAGAGTGAGCATATAAATTAATATCAGATGTGAGAATTAATCACAGCCGGAAAGCTACAGAACTGCTACAGTGAGTCAGAAGAAATTGGCTCCAAGTACATCAAGGTAAGTTGTGTGGGCAGATTCCTTGTGCAGAAAAAGAGCAATTAATTGAAGGGAGCCAGCTGATGTTTCGGGACTTGAAACTCTTAAATATCAATGTGAATTCTTACATAATTTTAAAACCTGCAGGATCTGGTGGTAAACTGCATAGATACAAAAAGAGAATGATTATGGCCTCATATTCTTTATAGTTGCAAGAAAAGAAAAAAAGAAGCAAAAAAAGAGGGAGAATAAACAAGACAGACGGTGCAAATAATAATGATAAATACCAACATAGAGCAAAAATTAAGGCCTTCCAAATAACAAACCTAAAGAATAGTCAATTAGGTTGAAATAGTGGTCACATTAGCAAGTCTTTGGAATTAGTATTGAAAATTATGAATCATTTGACCTCCACAGTGCCAGGAAGAGTTCATTATCTTTATTACTGAAGCTGTTGGACCAAGTGCTATTACAGGGCTCACTGGAATAAGGCATACAGATAGGGCATACAATCAGTTAACCTATGGAAGACTATAGTATTCTGTAAGATCAAATGAGTAGCAATAGTACACTCTGTGTACAGATATCAAAAGACACAGACTTGTTTACCAAATTCCTTAGAAAACAAAATGTGACCCACTTGATCATGCATGCCAACTGGATTCCAACTAGAATGTCTATGTAATTAATTTCCTCCTTTGATTTCAGTTGTTTCACCCTGACATTAACTGCATGTGACTACTTTTAACATCTAATACTGTTACTCATAACAGATCTCTTTCTAAGGTAAAACTGATTAAGCTGAATCCAGTTGCGAGAATAAGAATTAAATATTTCATCTCCCATTTGCACTTTGCATATTACTCTAAATAGCTGGAAAAAAAGTAATTGTTTTGAATGCACACTTGGGCATCACTATCACAAGCTTTGATAATAAGGATTCACATTTAAAATTTTTGATTTCTTGACATTCTTTTGTTGTTTTTAAAGTTACCAATAATAGCTTATGTTATATGAGATAGCTGATATATTTTCTGATATTTAGATGGTTAAATTTTATCTATTTTCAGTGCTTCCTCACCTGTAACTATAAATGCTTTGATATTTAAAATTAAAATAGTTTTTATTATCTTTCAACATAGGAACACCCTTTCACACTGTGTTCCTTATAATTGATGCAACTTGCATTTTATATGAATTTTTAATCATTGTATTGTCATCCTATTCATTTCTCAGCAACATTATTATTCCCCTTAAGTTACTTTTTCCTCTTCTCTAATTATGCAGGGTTAATTCTGAATTCTGCATTTATATTTTTACAAATATCAATAGAGCTAAGGCAGTTATATAATTTTAAAAGAAAACAGATCCTGATTAATTTGTTTAAACTTTAATAACATAGAATGTATCTAAATGTATTCATCTCTATCAGTTTTATAAGTTATAAAGATAATTGACATCTAAAACTTAATGTTCAGACTCTAATCTACTTTGAAACATTGCTTACAAGATGACAGTTACCTTTAAGGCTGCAGAGAACTTTTGAACAACAAAGCAGTATGACTCTATTCTGTCAAGATTTATTTGGGTATGGAAATCAGTATAAGTGAAAGTTTAATAATAGAATATATAAAGTGATAATGCAAACTTCCTTTCCATTATGTTTTAGGAAGCCAATGATAAATGTCATCATGTAGGGCAAAATGGTGATGTTTATTTTCCTGGGGTAATTTTTTGCCAAAATTAAATTTTAAACATATATTCATGTTTGGTACTATACATACTTTATTTTAAATCATTGAGATTGATATATCTGTTAAGTGGTGGAATCAATTTTAAAATATAAACTGTATATTACAACTACTTTTGACTAGGGCCTTACACATAAACTCAACAAATATTTGGGTAATGAATAGATGAATAATTAAATGTGAATGAGTTGTTGTGTCACTAAATACATTTCTAGTTGCTACATTTTAAAATAGAACAAATAAAGATGATAAGAAATGCTCTTTTAGTATATCTCTTACTATGCTGTGGGTTGTTTGTTTTAAGAAATCTCCTGAAAATGACTAAGACTTTTTAAAACTTGCATTCCCTTAACCTGTCTGTTATATTTAAAAAGAAAAAAGGCAGAAAAAGAAAGAGAGATATGGTGAGTTATGATGATTGAAATAGTGATAAAAGAAATACTCATTAAACACATATTTTGCTCTAATAAATATGAAGTCAAATTATCATGCTGAAATGACCTACTGGCCATGCCACCTGTTGTGCCAGATGTGTTAAATAACATTTGAGTGTGAAAAATCCCAAAGCATTTGTTAACACTTCCCAAAAGGCTTGTAAAGAGTTTGAAAACCTATCTTGTATCTCAGCTATATTTTACCTAAATCTAAATTAATCCCTCAGTTTTATAAGGAAAAAATATTTCATGCATGAAAAGTGATGTTTTATTTGCTGACAATCAGAATTCAGGTCTTCAATGAATCAAACATCAGATTACATAGGAGCATCTATCTTTATTTCTAGGGGAAGCTGTGTCTAATATACACAGATATTTGCTCTCTATTTCCTAGTTTCCATTTGAATTTGCTATCACAATCCTATGCCATTGTGAATCATTGTGAATATACGTTACTGGGATTCTCAAACTCTGGGTAAGCAGCCAAGAGATTTGATTGTCTTTCCCAAGATAACTTCTGGCTGAGGTGTAAGGTAATGACTTCAGGAACTATTTGGTGATTGTTCAGGCCAAATAGCATTCCTGCCTTGTCTCTAGACAGCATGCTTATTAAGTGAACTCAGTGCCCATCAGATGATTAACCCATCTTAGAGAAAACAGATTACACGGAAACGTTTTGAAATCCTGTTCTGCTGGTAGGTAATTTTTGCTTGGCCAAGATGGGAAAACACATAAAGAGTGAGTTAAATTAGGCCTGGCACAGTGGCTCACGCCTGTAACCCCAGCAGTTTGGGAGGCAGCGGCGGGCAGATCACGAGGTCAGGAGATCGAGACAATCCTAGCTAACACAGTGAAACCCCGTCTCTCCTAAAAATACAAAAAACTTAGCCAGGCATGGTGGTGGGCGCCTGTAGTCCCAGCTACTCGGGAGGCTGAGGCAGGAGAATGCCATGAACCTGGGAGAGGGAGGTTGCAGTGAGCCGAGATGGCACCACTGCACTCCAGCCTGGGTGACAGAGAGAAACTCCGTCTCAAAAAAAAAAAAAGAAAGAAAAGAATGAATTAAATTAATGACTCTTTCGAAGTTTAGGCCAGATATATTGTTGCTGCTTGGATGTCATTAAAATAACCTTGTATTGCATGATAATCAAGAATCAAATGTACAAGTAACTTTTCATCTGCCCTGTTCAAAATAGAAACAACTAGAATATACAATTTAGGTGTGCAGTTTTTACATGAGCTTTGTTTGGCATGTCATTCTTGACAAGTTATTTTTAATATAAAGTTTCCTCCCACCTAAATTGTTTATATGTATGAAATTTTCGATTACGAGAATCAGTAATACAGACAAGAACTACTTTAGGTAAAGAAGATCTTATCTTCTTATCTTATTATTCCAGTAATAAAATTTATGGTTTTCCCTTCACTTTCACTTGTCTTACACAGTACACCATAAATGTACTTTCCTGTGGGCTAACATGAGGACAAGATCAGGACTGTCATTCTAGGTGTCTGCTTGTTGGTCTCCAGTACTGATGGCAATGAAGATAAATGAAGAATAACAAAATGTTTTAAATAATTCACAAATATTTAAGGGCACTTATTTAATTCAAGTTCAGTTAATTTTTTCTGACTGCTGTTTCAACTGTATTCTTGAAAGGAATTTCTATTCTCGTGAATCTGCCAATTTCTCTCTGACATTACCACTGACCACTCTGGGCCAATCTACCATTATTTCTCCCTGGACTACTGTAAGTTTCCAGGCAATTCACCTTTTCTCTTTGTCATCTATAGTAGTCTCTACTAATCTGTTTTTTCATGAGCAGCCAGTGATCTTTTTCAAAGTGTGAATGTAAGAATATTCCACCACCCCTATCTCTACCCCATTCCCTTTTAAAACCACTTAATGGCTTCCCATTGTTCTTAGAATAAGAAAAAAGCAAACAAGGAAATAATAATAATTGAAAAAAAACCCAACAGAAAAAAGAAAACCCTGTAAATATCAAGGCACTGCATGGGCTGCCTATCTATCCCCTCTAATTTTAACCCTCGTTCCCTTTGATGTTCTCCAGAAACTCTACTTGCTGTCTTTTAGTCCCCTGCTGACATTCCCTTGACTTGGGCAGTTCTTCCCTCTGTTGCCCAGTTAATGCTCACTAGTTATTCAGCATTTTTCTGACCATCATTTTCTCTAAGAAATCTTCCTAGCCTTCTTTCACTATGGTGAATTTTCCTGTAGTTGAATCTTATTGTACCATTGTTTTGCAGTAGCAAATTTACATTTCTTCAGGTGATTATATGATTAATTTATATATCGTATAGTAATTGGCAATTACCAAGGTTACATTGCTTGTTTCCACATTGCTAAATCCATTTGTATCTATCTTGACTTATGAAGAGCATTTGCCCCAGTTGAACACCACTTCCTTTTTAAATACATTTTCTTTCGTTTTATTTTATTTTCTTTTTTATTTTCTTCTTTTTCTCTGACACCTTTGCTTGTATGTCATCATCTGATTGATCTCTTTAAGGCTGGAGTATGTGAGACCACAAGTCCTAACATTTTTGCTTTCTTCTCTAGCTATACTCATGCATTTGATGAGCTCATTCAGTCTCATGTTTTTATTGACTGTCCACATGATTTTCAGATAGTTTATCTAAAGTGTAGAACTTTCTTCTAAATTTCACATTTATTAACCCAATTGTTACTTATCATCTTCACATGAATGCTTAATAGGTCTCTTCAACTTTACATGATGAAAACTGAGCTGTCGTTATTTTGTTGTGTTAGTCCTGTCTTTTCGATCTTGTAAATGTAACTTTGTCCTTCCAGTTTTCAAGTAAAACCAAACACACACACAAAACAAACAAAACATCTACACTCCATTCTCTATATCATGTCCTACTTCCAGCCAGCAAATTCTACTAGATATAACTTTACCTCCAGTGCTATGATTCTCATCCTATTATAATCACATTTTCCACTGGATTCTTGGAAAAGCATCCAAACAACTCTCATTGCAGTCTTTTTTCACCAGAGCAACCAAATTGATCCTCTTAAAACTAAGTCAGTGCACATTTCTCTTCTGCTGAAACTTCCCATGGCTCTCTACTTCACTTGAAGGATACCAAAAATCCTTACATGACCTGTGTCTCCATTCCCTCTATGACCCTCTCTCTAACATACTGTCCCAGGCTCATGCTTTTCTATTCTTACAGGGCTGTTGAATATTGCTCAAATAAGTTAGGCCACTTTCTGCCTTAAGGCCTTTGTCTTTGCTGTTTCCTCTTCTTGGATTGTTTCCATTGGCATGGCTTGCTTCCTCGCCATCAATTTTCTGTTCAAATGTCCACTTTTCCTGGTCTACCGACTCAAAATTAGAACCACTGTCTTTTCTACTCTGCCCAAGTATTCCTAACTCATTCTTCCACTTTATTCTTCATAATGGATACTACATTGTAACATACGACAGTATGTAAGTTTTTTTCTTAAACTGATGTATTTCCAGGAGTCCCTGGAAATTTTGGGTAAAGAAATGATTGAATTATTGAGTGAATGACAGCTCCATGCAGTAAAAAATAAAGAACATATTCACAACACACACACATACACACACACACACACACACATATATATATTTCTAGTTGCTACATTTTAAAATAGAACAAATAAAGATGATAAGAAATGCTCTTTTACTATATCTCTTACTATGTTGTGGGTTGTTTTAAGAAATCTCCTGAAAATGACTAAGAGTTTTTAAAACTTGGATTCCCTTAACGTGTCTATTATATTTAAAAAGAAAAAAGGCAGAAAAAGAAAGAGACATATGGTGAGTTATGTATATGTATATATACATATATGTATGTATACATATTATATTTAAAAAGATATACACATTATATTTAAAATATATATATTATATTTAAAATATACATATTATATTTAAAAAGAAAAAAGGCAGAAAAAGAGAGAGATATGGTGAGTTATGTATATATACATATATGTATGTATATATATGTGTATGTGTATATGTGTCAAATTATATATAATCATATATGTATATATATATGTATGTGTGTGTATGTGTGTATGTGTCAAATTATATATATATAATCTCCATTGTATCTTATCATAGTGCTACATGTAAATGTTTGTGTACCTCCAAAATAGACCACACTGGGGGTAAGGCAGGATTCATATACAGTCTCCCTGCATTGAGAGTGCCATGTGTTCTCATTTGGAAATATCTCTTAGGAATTATATAGGATATTACATGACTTCTCCTATTTGGGCATTGAATTTCCTGACCATGAGCAAAGCAGCAGGGTCTTAGTGTCCCCAAAGAGTGATGCTTGATTGAAGATCAAATCAATAATTGAACAGACCCTAGAACCCAGGAATTCTGATAACTTTCCCCAAAGCTTTTTAATTGTACACTTTGCCAGTGATAACCATTATATATCAGGATAAATTAATTTTTTTCATTAAAAATATGTAACCATAATTCCATCAAATTTGAAATACAGTAAATTACATTTATTTTTAGTGTAACTTAAATTTTGGTGTTGTAGCATTGTTTTAAAAATGTCCCACTAACTGCTACACATTGATCATTCTGTTTCTCCTTATTACAGACTTTTTTCTGTTTCAAAACCTGTAAGAAGCCACAAATCTTGGGAATTTAATTACAGACTTTCTAAACCCCCACACAGAAGCTGTAGAATAAGCAAATACCAATTTTATTAGCATAATAGAATGACATGAACCAACTGAATGAATTGAGTCCCAGAAGATCTTGCCTTTCAGATGAGATGTGTTTAGACAGAATAAAAAAGTATTATAATGATTTATTTATTGTAGAAATGAGGATACAAACTTAAAGTAGCAATGCTTAAACTGATTTCTAATTGCTATACAAAATTGAGCCTTGTTTTCATGGCAAATGAGTTGTATTTATCCACATGTGCACAGTGAAGCTCAAACCTATTTTTGCATTTCAAGAAACAAAGAGAGATGGAGAAAATGCACCTCCATTAAATCAATTGGAAATAATATTATTTTAGACTTGCAAATGGAATATATAACACTCTCTCTCCATTGTGACCCAGACTAGTTTGTACTTTGCAACATGAAAGGGGACAGTTATGCAACAGAAAGTAATGAGATAATCCATAGAGCAAATGCATGTCAATATCCCTATACAGTGAGAAATAAGAAACAGAAACCACATCGAATGAAGCTGCACTTTAGAAACAACTAAAATTACTTATATTTTGACCCACTGGGTCATCTTACAATAAAATTTTTATGAGCACACTCCTTACCTCTGTTTGTTTCTTCTGAGTTCAGCACTTCACATTAGCTGTGCCTGAAGCTTTTCTAGAACCTTACTCATCTTATTGAGAAACTAATTACCTTCTCACTTTCCCAAGAGGGAATAAGTGAGGTTAACATAAGGTAAGTGAATGACAGACCTAGAAGAAGGAGAGTTTTAAAAGAATGAGAAATGCCAGATTTACCTGGAGAATATTTTTCTGGCCAGTGGACCCAACTAAGCTGGTCCAATATATTCTTGCTAGCTACTCATCAGGCTATATTATCCCTACTCCCAACCCTACTCCCATCTGGGTGGGTGGTATATATGTAAATGCATTTAAATGAATGAGATTCAGGTAAGTTGTAATATTGATTAATCTGATCTCTTTAGAGGATTTAATAGATTAAAAGCTTGAATTCAGGAGTTAATATGTCTGGCTTAGAATTTTTGCCCTGCCTCTTACTCATTTTGTGAACTTAAATTTCTTAACTCTGCTTCATTTTCCACATTTTGAAAATGACGATAAAATGGTACCTATCTCAGAGGGTTTTGTATGGATTGAAAGAGAAAACACCTACGAATGCTTAGCACAATGTCTCACACATGGTAACATTTAAGAAATATTAGCTGTTATAATTATCATTGTTACTTACTTTTTTAAAAGTTAGAAAAAAGCTGCAGTAATATATCTTAATAAACATTATTGCACTATTATATAGCAGTGTCTTCAGCAATTTTCTTAGAGAAGTGAGGTGAACTAGAAGGTAGATTTAGAAGGCAATCTTCCTAAAGGTACTAGCTCGGGGTCTTCCACCTGAATCCCTAAATGAAATATGTGTTACAGAAATACAATATGCTTTTAAATTCCCTTCTATATGTCTAACGCCCCTGACACATATTTCCTTAGATCAGTCTTGTGTAGAATAAGCATAAACTTCAATAATTGACTCCTGATTCGTTTTTTATGAAGATTTTGTAGCTGTTATGCAAGAATTTGAATTGTGTCTTACACTTTTTTTCTTTTTTTTTTGAGACAGAGTCTCCCTCTGTCGCCCAGGCTGGAGTGCAATGGTGTGATTTCGGTTCACTGCAAACTCCGCCTCCCAGGTTCAAGTGATTCTCCTGCCTCAGCCTCTGAAGTAGCTGGGATTACAGGCGTGTGCCACGCTCAGCAATTTTTTTTTTTTTTTTTTTTTGGTATTCTTAGTAGAGATGGGTTTTCACCATGTTGGCCAGCCTGGTCTTGATCTCATGACCTCAAGTGATCCACTTGCCTTGGCCTCCAAAACTGCTGGGATCACAGGTGTGAGCCATCACACCCGGCCCACTTTTAAAATTACAATCTAAAAATAGCTTTAAAAAAGTAGTTAAGTGATATTTTCAAAAAAAATATATTATGGCCTCATTACTTAATTTCTTCACTGATAATAAAAGCAGGATATTTTTACATTTTAAGTATTATATAAGCCTCTCTTTGTCATAATTTTCTCAAATTTTTTATTTCACTTGTGGTTGAAATTATTTAATAATATCATTTATGTACTTTGTTTTTTAATATTAAAGGTGATGAAAGAAAAACATATACCTAGTGGATCATTCACATCTTATACTGTATGTGTTTATTTTAGTCTTATAATGAATATAAACATATGAATGCCATTATGAAGAGGAAATATAGTGAAACTTACAGAAAAGTTTTAGTTTTGGGACTTACCTAGGACTACATGTTTTTGTGTTTGTTCATTTTTCCCACAGATATAATTTAAATTGTGATAGTAATAATAATAATAGGTACAATTTACTAAGTGCTCACTGTGTTCCATTCCCTATGTCAATCCTTTTTTGTGTGCTTTATCCAATAAAATTGTCACAACTGAATGTTGTGTGAACTTTAATGAAAATTTGTCCAGGTGCTCAAATCTAGCGAGTTGCAAAACAAAGATTCAACATATTCCTGTCTGACTACAAAATGTAAGTCTTAATATATAAGAAATACTACATGATACAAATTAAAATATAGGCACCTGACTTAAGATAAAAATCTCAAAATAGTTTGAAGCAATGTCTCAACTTCAGCCTCTTACATGCCTTTCAATTAACCTCCAAAATTTTTCATATGATGGGTAGCCTGGGATTCCAAATGTCATATTTTGGCTTTATAGCAGATTTATAATATTCTCCTATGAATAAATCATTTATGTGATAATATTATGTATGACTATTACTTAACAAACTCAGCAAATTGAAATACTGATTCTCCTTTGAACCATATATATCTCAATTTAGATAGCTAAGGGCTCTGCATTATCTTAATTCTTAAGCAAAGTCAGAATAATTATGTTAATTTTTATTTGAGCACTGAATAATGATTACATGATTGTTGAGATTTAAGACATTCGCTTTGAAAATAATATCTAAAAGCTGGCATTCTAGAAATAGCATAGAACTATAGTTGCCAAATTTTGCTTAAAAATAAAGCCCCCAAATCAGGATTAAAGACTAAAAATATTTTTTCTGGGTTAAAGCTATTTAAAAAATTGTAACATTTTGGAGCAGTCATTAAGATACATTTAGCCTATTTTTATACATGCATAACAGAGTGAAATAAAATTATTTTATACAAAGAAATTTTAAGACTACTTTAAAGTACCTTTCTCCTCTAAGTGGCAAAGCAGTGATGATCTTGTTAAAATTCAGCATGATATACAAATGTAGGATAGACTTGTATATCAAATGTAGCATGTTGAGAATTGAATCAGGAGACAAGTTAGAAACTATTTCAGGCAAGCTCTGAAGAATGAGATTTTTTATATTTTATTTTATTTTATTTTATTTTATTTTATTTTATTTAGACAGAGTCTGCCTCTGTTACCCAGGCTGGAGTGCAGTGGCAGAATCTCAGCTCACTGCAGGCTCCGCCTCCCTGGGTCAAGAGATTCTCCTGCCTCAGCCTCCTGAGTAGCTGGGATTACAGGGGACCATCACCACACCTGCCTATTTTTTGTATTTTTAGTAGAGATGGGGTTTCACCATGTTGGCCAGGCTGATCTCAAATTCCTGACCTCAAGTGATCCACCTGCCTTGACCTCCCAAAGTGCTGGGATTACAGGCATGAGCCACTGCACCCGGCCAGGAATGAGAGATTCAAAGAATAAGGATTCATGCAAAAGACACTATAGGGATAAAATTAGGACAATTTGATAATTAATTGGATGAGAGGGCCATTAAGAAAGAGAAGTTAAAGGTATTTCAAATCTTTTAAACTTAGAAAATTGGACTAATATTCATGTCATGAGAACATATAGCAAACCCAGAGGGTTCTTAGTTACAAAATAAGTAAATAAATAAGAATATCGGTTTCTAATATTAAAGTGGAAATATTCAGCAGGGTGATGAAAATATCAGACAAAAGCTTAACAGTTAAGTCAAGTTCAGAAAAGTGTAACAAAGTCAATGAAAAAACCCTTAGAAAGAAAACATTCATATTATTTCTCTTTTGATTCTAAGCAAGAGAAACCTATCTAGAAATTTTTATTAAAAGACATCTGTGTCATAGACCCAGAGAGTAAAGATAAAATAGAGCCTTAGCAATACGTTAGACCAAGAAGCTAGTGCACCAGCAGAGTACTCTCTCAATCTCTCACTCTTCATAGAGTCCTCCTTCCTTCTTGTGGCATTTGTCAACCTTAATTCATTTTATTAAATCTACATACAAAATTTACGCGTGAAGAGTAACAGAACTGATCAACCATCTCTGTTTCTTTGTCTTACCTCCTTGACTTTTCCCTCTCTCTCTCTCTAGCCCTTTCCCAGTTATAAGTTTTCTGAGAAGCAACTCGACTGGGTCATTTATGTTCCTCTTGACAGGCAACAATAGTGAGACAGGTTGGTTGCAGGTACACAATTGTCTAGAAAATGGCCCCATTCTTTATTTTGTAGGAAGTGAAGTTTATCTCTCAAAGGCAGTGTGGAAAGCTGAACCTACACTACAATAGTTGATCTTTTCAAGAATCAAAGACAACCTGAATAAAACCTGTATTTCAGAACAAGATATAAATGGAGAGAGAAAGAAAGAGGCAAAGAGAAGTTTTAAAAAATGAAGTATGTACAGTGCCACTGAAACCAAAGGAAATGTAAATTCAAAAGAATATAATATGTTCATCAGGAAAAAAATAGCAATATGAGGATTGAGAAACCACCCTTGGATTTGGCCATTGGAGAATAATTAGTGATCTTCAGAATAAGTTTCTACAGAAATAAGCAAAGAGCTAGTTGCTACATTATTTGATAAAATTCAGGTATATTATGTCTATGCTACTGCCCTCCTATACTGGTATAGTAACTCACATTTAAAAAAAGAAGGTGTAATTTCCTATGCTATTACTAATAATTTCTGACTGATTCTCAATGAACTCTGTTTTAACCTAAATACCCACCAACTGTTGTTTTAAGAGTGTTTAAAAATCTTACTGGGAAATTGATGTCAAAATGACCAGTTTATGGTTTCTGGAAATGAAATCATTACTCCTTACAAAAAATCAGAACACATTCCTCTCTCCAATATTCCAGAAACTTTCCACATTTGCGTGATTCCATAAGGATAGATAAATGAGATATAATCTTCTTTAAAATTTCTCTCGGTTCCCTGGTAAGTACTTTTTCTGGGCCAGGAGAAATGAACTATTCTGAAGCAACCATCTGCTCTTATATTATCTTGGGTTTTATTTTCCTCTTATCCACTTTTTTTTTTCTGTTTGAAGACCATTTGCCTTCATATAGAAATTGGACCAAAAAATCACTGAGTAATTCTTTCTATTATCTCTACATAATATATATCTTTCTTCAGCAATGGTTAGAAATAAAATTTCAGTTTCCACTTGAGGCACAATTAATTTTTGAACGTGTCATTGCTTGCCTTGTAGATGCAAAAATATAAGCATGCGGAAAGCTATGTGTTAAGGCCCCTACAGGCTAGTATACAAGTAAAAAGAGGAGAGTCAAATAAAATGGCTAAGTGTGGAACACTGGGGATGGAAGTGTGGAAGGCACTAAATTGGATACAGAAATATGCTTGCATTATAAAATTCTAGTCAGCTTGAGTCCTGAAATGACTTGACAGATACCTGTAATATAATTTATGACTATAATTCTCCAATGATGAAATGGCTTTTCCATATTTAATACTTAGCAGCCTGCGTATTATAATTCAAATTATTTTCCATTGTTTTGGAGAGTAATTGATTACTAGAGGTTTTATGTGATCAAATACTGTAATGACTCATAATCACTCCATTGTCTATTGCATCATCTTAGAATTTATTTTTCTACACTTTCTTATAAAAGTACCAGGTTTCATTCAAAAGATTTTCTCACCACACTAGACTGTATTCACTCCTGTTTCCAGACCTTTAGTTAGCCTTTCTAATTATTTTTTTAAATACACTACTTGTTTTCTATGTACATCCTATCCATCCTTCAAGAGCCACTTCCAGCTCCACCTCCTACATAAAGTGGTCTCTGATGATTCCAGTGCTGATATGCATCTCCCCCTGGTTCCCTTTACACTCATATGCTGTACCCTGGAGCTGGTGCAGTGTGTATAGTTTGTAATTCCTCATTCCTAAAACTACACTTCTCATCCTTTCATTATATAAACATATTGTGCTTATACATTTATAGACATGTATTCATTATCAAATAATTTCTGAATTGCTGTGAATGTATTTATTTTGTTCACAGCCAGACAGAAAATTACTGTGGCAAGGATTGGCTGATTTTCCACAACACTTACTGGAACAGGAAACAAGGCTAGGTGAGCTATAAGAAAGGTGACAATAAATTTGCCATCTCCTCCTTTAAATATTTCATATTCTATAAGCAAATACATTGCTATGACAATATTAGTTGTATGATAAAGGCTTGACTTTATAAATAGGGAATAGTTAACACTTCAAAGATGAGCGTATGTCATAGTATTAAAACTAGCTGTAAAACTAGAACCTGGAACTGAAAGAGAAAAAAATTTCTTTTGCTATTTAAGAAGCAAAAGCAAAAAAGATTTTTAAATATGTAGACTGCTCTAAACAGAATGAAATTGAAATACATAAATGATAGGTCTATGATACAGTATCATACATGTATTTGAATTTTTCAAACCCATAAAAACTGGGACACATGGAGCCAAAATACTTTTTCTTTATTTTCAGCGTTGGACATGTGCATCTTTTATCATGAAAACACATTTTTAGGTTTCTAGCAAAGTCAAACAATGCAACTAAAAATGAAAAAATAATCATAAATAGAAATCGATAGCTTATAATATTCAGTTTTTAGAAGATTAAATTTTATTTTCACATAATTCTATAAAAGCATACTCATTTTTGAGACTTTCCATCAGTTTTATTTTATGCTGTATTTTGCCCAATTCTCAATTTTATCAAGGAAACTAAGGTACGCATGCAAAATGTTAGTGCAAAAAAAGCACTTTATTGCACTTTGAAATACTTAGGAATAAAGTGAGAAGTGAAACAAGAAAACAAACTCACAAACATTCATGCAAACATGTCTCAGAAATTGGATAACTGAAATAATTGATATTTGTATTTGTAGGAATTTATGAACAATATCTATACACTGAAATAGTATTATCACCAACCGAATTGGTTCTATCATTTAAGAGAACTTAGAAGATTGAGCAGAAAAATGAATGATGATGACTCATGCAGAATAAACAGGAGCTCACCTTTAACTTTATTCTTTGAAGCAGCCGCTGGTACCAAGGAAAGGTTGCACAAGAAGAGAACAAACATATTAGATATTAGACAGATTCTCTAGTAAGAAAGCAGAGATGTTATTGCTATTAAAGTCTAAAGAGTACATTTGTGATTTCATGATCAACAGCCTAAGAAACAAAATGACTATTGTTACATTTAGTTAGTGTTATGAGTAAGATCCTTGAGTAAGACAAAGTAAGAGCAGACAGGAGCCATGTACTACACATTCCAAACACTACAAGTCACCATATTCCTTTAATGGAATGTATAACTTTAAGTTCTTCTTAACTCTAAATTTTATTTAATAATCAATTAAAATTATATATAGTTTAAATATACTTAATACTATTTAACAATCAGATTGTAACCCCATGATATTTGAGTAACTAGAAAAGCAGGCCACTTCCATCATTTGAGTGCTTTCTAAATGCCAGAGACTGACTTTCCATACATCTACCACTTAATAATGACAACTGTGAGAAGTAAGTTTTGTTGCCCTTCCTCATAGATGTGGAAACTGGGAATGAGAAAGGTCAAATTACTTGCTGAAGATGACACATCTGGAAAGCAGATTTGGGATTTGATTCTAGGTGTATCTGACTCCAGAATCTGTGCTGTAAAATATTACCTTAAGCTATTGGTATTTAAGGAACTGATTGATCCACTAAATTGCAAGCATCAGTTCTACAAAGCCAAATAAAAATTATATGATTCACTAAACTCCAGCAATTTTGGTACTTGGTTGACACATAAACATGAGACTAGAAAACTGTATTACTTTAAATGGCATTATTTCCATTAATAAGCTGAAGTATAAGCTTATATCTAGTGGTAAACATTGTTTAAAGCAGAAGTCAAGTTAACAAGAAAATTAGAACAGTCCTACAGGACAGTCCCTTACTCAAAGGAAAACTTCTGTTCAAAATGCGTAATTAGATACCTCTAAATACTTCTGAAGTGATATAGTCTACTTTGACTTACTATTGAAAAATGAAGATAGACAAAAGCAGGAATGGGTTCTGGCTTTCTAAATGATGTTAAGGAGGAAATAGTCCATCTCCTAATTGGGAAATGTGCAGTCTTGTTTGGTGGACTGACCTTTAGTAAAATTTAACATAGATTTTAGATCTAGTAATTATGAACTACACATGAAAAGTTCTAATTTCGACTTCATTCTTTCAAGTTGCCTGGAGCTAAAAAAAATTTAGAAAGTCTGTGTACATACCAGGCTACTTACAGATAATTTTTGTTTTCATCTACAATAACAAAAACTGCCTTACTATTTGCATATATATGCTACTAGTTTATTTTAAAATGAACATCCTAGTTTTAAAATAATAAAATTTTTACCAGACAAAAACATCTTAACTAAAAACAAAGTTATTTTAGGAAATCTGGATTAAGTCCTTGACCCATTCAAACTCTTTTATTTCACAGCTCTCAAATGGACATAGACAAAGTGGTAGACTACTTACAATATTATTGTGAAGATTTTTTTTAAAGTAACTTAAAATTCAAAGTGTAACTATTATCTGTTCTTTGATATATTTACTACTTATGATGCAATAATTCATAAAATTTAAAGCCCACTAAAATATTTAATATCAAAACTTAAGTTTTAAAATTCAATTTCATCAAAAATCTACATTCCTTTAATGAATGTTTTGGCTTAATTGTTTAAGTACAAAATTGATATATATCAAAAATTACAGGTAATATAGCAAAGTAAACAATATCCCCTCTTCCTTTCCAATGTCAGCAACTGAGATAATCAATGCCAGCAATTTCTTAACGATAAAAAATAAAATTTGCAGTTCTTATAAAAACCTAAAAAAAAAGTGTGCATTTTGTTTCCAGAAGAAGATTTTACTATACACATTAATTTGCAGTCTGCTTTTCCCACATTTCCAGGTTAAAACACGGAGTGCTAACTTATTCATTTTAATAGTTGCATATTTTTATGTAGTTTATATGAAGTATGGAACTATTTTGTATTATCAACAGGTTTGTGGTTTGGGAGCATCTTGCTGTATTCTGTTTTTTTTTTGCTAACAACAGTTTTGCAACATGCATCTTTATGGCATATCTCTTAGGCACTGTTGTAGTGCTTTATTTCTTCAGGACATAAATTTCCAGGTTGTCTTCACATTTCTACTCAGAAAATCCTGGATAAAGATGAAGACTTAAATATTGAAAATGGAAGAGTTGGAAATATTTGGAGAGAAAGTGTGCAAGTATATTACATATTCTAAAATAAGAGATCACTAAAACAAGAGAAAAAAAGGAAGAGAGAAAGTAAAGCACAGAATCTACTATTTCAAACAACTGATACACTACAAATTCTTCATATCTTTAAAATCATAAATTGGTTTATTTAACTTTACCTACTATTTGTTTTAATTGGATTCCTTGGTAAAATGTTAGTGGATTTTAAGTGAAAATAATTTAAAATTATTTTCCTTTTTTATTTAGTTATTTTTTGTGTGTATTGTTTGTTTTTAAGACTGAGTTATTTTTAGATTATGCTAAAATAATGTTTGTCTCAATTTCAAAGGAAAGATTACAATGCATCAATAAATTGACTTGTTCATTTGAAGAACAAATTTGCTTCAAACTCAAATTCATCACTTGAAAAATTTTAGCATGAATTCAAAGAAAACATGCCAAAACCTTATAAAGTTTTGGAACAATAATAATTAATTAGCATCTAACATGTAACAGATACAACCAATCTTTTATAAGAAATCATTTTATCATAAATTAGTGAAATAATGATGGATAAAGCTAATCTTTACATTTATCAGTGGATTGGAGATAAGTTACTGACAATTCTCAAACATTGTATGAAGACAGAGGATTTTATCCTTTGATTGTTGGGCAGGTACCAACATAGAATAGAAAGAAAAACAAAAGCTCTATGCCTGTTTCTGTATGCCGGCAGCTAATACTAGACTAGGTTAATATAATTGGAAAGAGGCCAGGCTATCAGGCTTGTTAGCTCAATTATAATTCTCTGCATATTCAATAAAAGAAGCCAAGATGACAGGAATACTGTCATGAATGTCATGTTCAATACTTGTAAGATTTTCCATTGTCAGCATAGTCCAATTAGAAGTCAATTGTAAAGTGCACATTGCACACCACCCCAAGTGACCGAAAATTATCTTAAAAATGCAATTTTAACTGTTTATAGATAAAATAAACAGAACAGAATTAAAGATACTTTGACCAGAGAAAAGTTTTAGATATGACACCATTTTTTGTCTTTATAATAAAAGCAGCAAATTGTTACTATAACACAATTATTCATACTACTTTTTTCAGAGATTGTTCGTTATAATATTAAAATTGTAAATGGTGAGAATTATAATATTGATTTCACATGATTTTACATAAGTTTGTGAAAACACGTATATATATGTGAGGAAAAATCATGTGAATGATAAAATAATTACCATAGCTATTTATGTAGAAATGCTGAAGGGTTAGTGAATGTTAGTCATTATATTAATAAAGTTTATCTGAAAAAACATCAGTACAAATAATCATAAAGTACAAATATAATTGACTAGGTTACTGATTTGTTTAATCAGTTTTAAATTAGACACTTGTCTGGCTATTTGGAAGATGTATCTCTGTCTAATATTTTCTCAAAGATTTAGGGACTCTTAAAATGCATTTCTTGAAATGGAATTCAGGGACTATTAGTAGGGTATGAAGGCATTCTCAGAAGAGATTAGATAAATTTCACCCGTCTCAAGACTGATATGACTAGTCACATTTTTGCTATTCTTTTATTCTGGCTTCTTATTTTAACATTTACTGTCATAACACAAGGGTCATATATTTTTAACATTATTTGCAATATATGGGTAATATAGAGCTTACTGGATTTACTGGTGCCTTTAGAAGTGTTTGTTAGAAAGTTATTCGTCAAGGAAACATTTTGTAAATAGTTAGCAAGGACATTACTGGTATTTATGCAGGGAGAGCTAAAGCACTATGGATCTTTGTATTTTAAGATTATGTAGAATTTTATTGAAATATTTTGATTTGGGCCTTGTGTCTGTTATCCTTCCTCCTAAGCAAAAATTTATAGATAAGGGACAATTCTTTCTTAAAAGAGGAGGCAATAGAGTTAGAGCTTAGATTTTTTAAAGAGACAGAGATTCCTGACATCTATGATTTTGATGGCAGTGGCAGTCCATGTGGAGCAGCCACTGCCATTCCAACAGCTGCAGAGAGGAGCTACCCACTCCAGGGTCTCCTCTCTGCTAAGAGTAGCAGACACCAGGATAACCAGCTGCAGAGAGGAGCTACCCACTCCAGGGTCTCCTCTCTGCTAGGAGTAGCAGACATCAGGATAACCAGCTGCAGAGAGGAGCTACCCACTTCAGGGCTTCCTCTCTGCTGAGAGCTGCGGAGGTCAGGAAGACGAGCTGCAGAAAGGAGCTACTCACTCCAGAGCCTCTTCCTTGCTGAGAGGTGAACACTCTATGTGACAACCTGCCCGTAGACAGGAACTACCCACTCCAGGGCCTCCTCTGACCTATTGTTGCTCAATAAAGCTCCTCCTCAACTTGCTCACCCTCCATGTTTCTGCATGTCTCATTCTTCCTGGGTGTGGAGCAAGAATTCAGTACCCAACAAATGAGGCTAAAAGAGCTGTAACAGAAACAGAGCTGAGACATGCTCCTTGCTTGCCACATTGTGGGAGAAGACAAGAAAAGAAGAGCTGTGGCCCTTCGGGGAGCCAAGACCTGGGAGCACCCCATTCCAGGGCTGTGGCTCCCACTTTGGGGCCCTGCAGTTCCTAGAGTCTCCAAGCTTCCAGGCACTACCTTGGTTCCCGGTGCCAGCTGTGGAAGCTTCTTGCAGTGCACCTGGTCCAGCTGCAGCCTCACGGAGAGCTGGTGCCCATGCCGGCACCTGGAGCTGCCCGCCCTGCTGGAGCACCTGGCATGTCTGACTGTGCACAGTGTCTGGACCCCATCTCACACATACACCCCTCACCATTCCACACCTCACTCGCCCTTGGCAGTCATGAGACCCAGGCCAGTAGTGTGAGCCGAGTGCATCCTGCCAGGCCAAGTGAGTGAAATGAGCCCAGCAGGCCTGAGGAAAACACAGGAAAGGTGCCACCAGCCACAGAAATTTCTGACCAGAAAAACGACACCCCAAAGATCCCATAACAACTTCATATTCAGATATATTAGATGTTTCCCTTGATTCAAATGTATTTGCAGCAAAACAAAACATTGCCATTGGAAGATGCTGTGCAGTATAAAGTTTTCATATATGAAAAGTTACACTTATAGTACACACTACAAATTATTAAAATAATGGCATTGCCACTACTTCCCAGAATAAATACAGTGAAAACAATGAGATCACTCATGTAACAAAACTGTGCTTCAGAGAAGAGGAATGCCATTTTTAGAATACAAAGCACTTCAGTGGTGAATTTACAGAGAAAAAACACACTTCTGAATATATATATTTTAAAATCTACTGCGTCGAAATGTAGTAACCATTAGCTATTATATAACACAGCAATGTTAATCAACAAACCAATGATTTTTATTCCTTTATGATTGAAATAACACTGATTTGAAAAGGGGAAATTCTACTACATCTAATTTATCAGATAGTACATTATTACTGTCTTTTAAGACACAGAAATTAAAATATCTGCTGTAGAGGGCTAGATAACTGCCTACCTTTTCTCCTCTTTTTGTTTTCTTTCTTTAATCATCAAACACAAAGTTAAACACATTTTTTCACTAATCACATGAAACTTATTAAAATAGCATCTTTCTTAACTATCACCTAACATTGTCTAAGTACTAGATTTTCTTCTAAGCCTCATTAGAATTCAAAGACTTGAAAAAGTGAGAATTTAATTTATTTCACTAGTTTTTATTTTTTCTTAATCACACAAATATCATACTAGGAAAAAAGTGTAAAAATGGTTTAAAATGTTTTAGAAAGAAACACTTGCTATGGAGTTACATAGCCAAATATTGGATGGATGGAAATAACTCTTAATAGAAATACTCCAGCTACTAAACAAAGAGGAAATAAAAGAATTAGAAAGTCACCATTCTGCAATTTTAGCAAATACTCATATTTAGGCAATGATTACCATTCAGGTAATATCAGTAAAAGGGAATCTACCAGATATTATATTCCTCCTCAGCGATGGACACAACACCACAAAGGAAGAATTTTTTCAAAATAATGAAAACTGGATAGCACTATGTCTCTACATTGAACTTCCAAAGTCCAACAAATACAGGGGACAAAAAAAATAGTCAAATGAGGCCATGAGTAAAATAATGAATGTGAGAAATGACACACAATTTTGCCATTTGGTTCCTTTAGCAAATAAATTTCACGGCAGAAAATACCAGTTAGAGGAGAAACCTAAAAGACACATCAATTAATTATCATGTGTAGACTACAGTGGATCTTGAGTTGAACATTAGATACTTCATAGTGTTAGGAAATTATTGTTAATATTTACATGGGATAATAAGAGTACTGTGACTATATTTTTTAAGTCTTGTTTTTTGTTTTTTTTTTACAAAATTAAACACTTGTGAAAACCATTTCATAATAATTTTGGGATGTACAATGTTTAGTATATTTTCTTCCTGTTTTTGTATGTGTTTGAAATTTTTGATAGTAAAAAACTGTTAACATGTTTTAAATATTTAAGTAAAACTTGGATGTTTTCCTGTTTTAGGTACAGTTGACCCGTGAGCAATACAGATTTGAACTGCATGAGTCCACTTACAAGCAAATTTTCTCCTGCCTCTGCCATCCCTGAGATAGAATAACCAGTTCCTTCTTTTCCTCCTCCTTTTCAGCCTAATCAATGTGAAGAAGATGAGGATTCAGATCCTATAATGATCCACCTCCACTTAATGAAGAGTAAATATATTTTCTCCTCTTTATGATTCTCTTCATAACATTTTCCAAACTCTAGCTTACTTTAAGAATACAGTACATGATACATATACAAAATATGTGTGAATTCACACTTTATGTTATCAATAAGGCTTCCAGTCAACAGCAGGCTATTGGTAGTTAAATTATTGGGGAGTTAGGAGTTTTCCTTGAATTTTTGACTGTGGTGGGGAGTCAGTGGCCCTAACCCCCATGTTGTTCAAGGGTAAACTGTATTACAATTTCTGAACACATCTTTTCCTATGATTTAATATGATAATGTATATAAAATAGTTCAGCGTTGGCTACCCATTGATAATTGCATAGAATGAGGTCAATTTATCATATGTGTAAATTACTTACAATATGTGCAACACAAACAAGCACAATGAAAGTAATTTTGGCTATGAAATGCTGTCTTAAGAACATGGAATATTTCCACCCTGACCAATATGGTGAAACCTCATATCTACTAAAAATACAAAAATTAGCCAGGCGTGGTGGCGGGCACCTGTAATCCCAACTACTTGGGTGGCTGAGACAGGAGAATTGCTTGAATGTGAAAAGTGGAGGTTGCAGTGAACTGAGATTGTGCCACTGCACTCCAGCCTGGCTGACAGAGTGAGACTCTCTGTCTCAAAATAATAATAATAATAATAATAATAATAATAATAATAATAATAAAATACCATTAATTTCCTCTATAAAATAAATACTTTGTTTCCAAAGAGGTGAAACAGAACTTTATTGTAAGATTTTACCTACTTTTTGTGTGTATTTTGAGATTTCAGTAATCTATATAATTACTTATTTTCCCTGTTTTCTCACTTTATAAATACTGAATTATACATAGCAAAATAACTGATATTTTATATTAAATTTTTTTCACTCTACCGTTTTCATGGTTCTAGTACAAATAGTTTATACATAAAATGTTTACATGATCTTTTTCTATATTTATTCCTTTTGCTTTCAAACATCTCTTTAAAGTTCATGAGTCAGTACCAATTTTTAAATCTCTTTTTCTTATGCTATATTTCCCAATTTCCTTGTAAGATTATGACTTTTGTCCCAATAGTTACAAAGGGAAGCTTTCCAGCCAAGAATAGAACTTAAACTCATGCCTCTAAAAGTGACTCTGTAAGATAAATGCAAACCCTTAGATGTCTCAACCATTTATTATTACAAAAGCCTTAAGGAAGTACAGGAATAAAAGGTTCTCAATAACTAAAGTACACGGGCAATCTTTGAAGTTATATTTTATGTCTACATTACTAAACCAAAAAGCTATTTTAGAAATACCCTAAATCTATAACTGGAACATAATAGAGTGTTGATGATTTACCTCATTTCATGTTATTCCCCATATTCTCAATGGCTAATTTTTATGGGTTATATATACATATAATATACACACTTCAGAATATGTTACCAATGACATGAACACTATTAGGTGTAAGAAATATTTATTGACACATCCTTAAAAAACTAACTTCTGGCTGGACGTGGTGGCTTAAGCCTGTAATCCCAGCATTTTGGGAGGCCAAGGTGGGCAGATCACCTGAAGTGAGGAGTTCAAGACCAGCCTGGCCAACATGGTGTAACCCCATCTCTACTAAAAATACAAAAAATTTAGCCAGGCGTGGTGGCAGGTGCCTGTAATTCCAGATACTTGGGAGGCTGAGGCAGGAGAAATGCTTGAAACTGGGAGGCAGAGGTTGCAGTGAGCCACGATAGTGCCATTGCACTCCAGCCTGGGCGACAAGAGTACAACTCTGTCTCCAAAAAACAAACAAACAAAAACCCCCACAAAACCACATGATTATCTCAATAGATGCAGAAAAGCCCTTCGATATAATTCAACAACGCTTCATGCTATAAACACTCAATAAACTAGGTATTGAAGGAATGTATCTCAAAGTAATAAGAACTATTTATGACCCACAGCCAATATCATCCTGAATGGGCAAAAGCTGGAATCATTCCCTTTGAAAACTGGCACAAGAAAAGGATGCCCTCTCACATAACTCCTATTCAACATAGTATTGGAAGTTCTGGCCAGGGCAATCAGGGGAGAGAAAGAAATAAAGGATATTCAAATAGGAAGAGAGGAAGTCAAATTACCTGTTTGCAGATAACATTATTGTATATTTAGAAAAGCCCATCATCTCAGCCCCCTAAATCCTTAAGCTCATAAGCAACTTCAGCAGTCTCAGGATACAAAATCAATGTGCAAAAATCACAAGCATTCCTATCCAGCAATAATAGACAAACAGAGAGCCAAATCATGAGCAAAGTCCCATTCACAATTGCCACAAAGAGAATAAATACCTAGGAACACAACTTACAAGGGATGTGAAGGACCTCTTCAAGGAGAACTACAAACCACTGCTCAAGGAAATAAGAGGGGAAACAAACAAATGGAAAAACATTCCATGCTCATGGATAGGAAGAATAAATATCATAAAAATGGCCATACAGCCCAAAGTAATTTATAGATTCAATTCTATTCCCATCAAGCTACAACTGACTTTCTTCACAGAATTATAAAAAACTACTTTAAATTTGATATGGAACCAAAAAAGAGCCCATATAGCCAAGACAATCCTAATCAAAAAGAACAAAGCTGGAGGCATCACACTACCTGACTTCAAACTGTGCTACAAGTCTACAGTAACCAAAACAGCACGGTTCTGGCACCAAATCAGATATATAGACCAATGGAACAGAACAGAGGCCTCAGAAATTGCACCATGCATCTATAACCATCTGATCTTTGAAAACCTGACAAAAACTAGCAATGGGGAAAGGATTCCCCATTTAATAAATGGTGTTGGGAAAACTGGATGGCCATATGCAGAAAACTGAAACTGGACCCCTTCCTTACACCTTAACAAAAATTAACTCAAGATGGATTAAAGATTTAAATGTAAGAACTAAAACCATAAAAACCCTAGAATAAAACCTAGGCAATAACATTCAGGCAAGGGCAAAGACTTCATGATTAAAACACCAGAAACAATTGCCACAAAAGACAACATTGACAAATGGGATCTAAGTAAATGAAAGAACTTCTGAAGAGCAAAAGAAACTGTCATCAGAGTGAACAGGCAATCTACAGAATTAGAGAAAATTTTTGCAATCTATCCATCTGACAAAGGTCTAATATCTAGAATCTACAAGGAACTTAAGTAAGTTTACAAGAAAAAAACAAACAACCCCATCAAAAAGTGGGCAAAGGTTATGAACAGACATTTCTCCAAAGAAGACATTCATGCAGCCAACAAACATGAAGAAAAGCTCATCATCATTGGTCATTAGAGAAATGCAAATCAAAACCACAATAAGATACCATCTCATGGCAGTTAGAATGGTGATCATTAAAAAGTCAGGAAACAACAGATGCTGGAGAGGATGTGGAGAAATAGGAACACTTTTACACTGTTGATGGGAGTGTAAATTAGTTCAAACATTGTGGAAGACAGTGTGGCAATTCCTCAAGGATCTAGAACTAGAAATACCATTTGACCCAGCAATCCCATTACTGGGTATATACCCAAAGGATTATAAATCATTCTACTATAAAGATGCAGGCACACACATGTGTATTGCAGCACTATTCACAATAGCAAAGACTTGGAACCAACCCAAATGCCCATGAATGTTAGACTGGATAAAGAAATTGTGGCACATATACACCATGGAATACTATGCAGCTATAAAAAATAATTCTTTCATGTCCTTTGCAGGGATATGGATGAAGCTGGAAACCATCATTCTCAGGAAACTAACACAGGAACTGAAAACGAAAGGCCTCATGTTCTCACTCATAAGTGGGAGTTGAACAATGAGAACATATGGGCACAGAGAGGCGAACATCACACACTGGGGTCTGTCAGCGGGTGGAGGGCAAGGGGAGGGATAGCATTAAGAGAAATACCTAATGTAGATGAAGGATTGATGGGTGAAGCAAACCACCATGGCACATGAATATCTATGTAACAAACCTGCACGTTCTGCACATGTATCCCAGAACTTAAAGTATAATTAAAAACAAACAAAAAATTCAAAAAACTAACTTCTAAAATCAGTGAGATTCATCACATTTTTTAATTTTCAGGGTGTTCTAATGTTTTGTTCTAATTAGTTACTACCCTAATTTGAACTTTTTACTCACTAATCTATTTTAAAATGCATTCTATTTTACTGATTAAATGCATGCAAACTAAAAAAATACTTTTTGCTCATAATTGGTATTGGTAAAATAGTGCAGCAAAATAATGCTTCTTTGAAAAATTTTTGAGCCAACAAAGGTCTCATTGTCATGACTGTCATGTAGAATTAACAGTGGGATGGTATCTACCACTAAGAGTTTATATGCTAAGGCAGAAGGTGACATGTAAAAAATTATGTGTCATAAGCATTCTCTCCCTATGCATATGCATATATATATGTGTGTATAGAGAATACTATATTGTAGAATCACATAAATGTGTAATTAGAAATGTATTTATAAATGTATACATTATATAAATGTATAAATGTATATTATACCACTGATAATTTTTTTTCCAGGAACGATAATGATTGGACTCTGTATTAGTAATGAGAATGGTGTGCAATTAGAAAACTAAAGTGTCACCTAGTAAGCACATTTATTGACTGTTAACAGCTTTGTAATGGTTATAATGGATGACTAGTACTCATTGATGTAAAGGAGGACACCACCACCTGGAGATTACCCAGATCTCAAGGGTTTATAGCATCATCTTAACGAGGGGAGTAAAAGGAGGTGGGAAAAGAAGCAGAATAAGGTCAAGTAAAAATAGATAAACAGGGCCAGGCGCGGTGGCTCACACGTGTAATCCCAGCACTTTGGGAGGCTGAGGCGGGCGGATCACGAGGTCAGGAGATCGAGACCATCCTAGCTAACACGGTGAAACCCCGTCTCTACTAAAAAAAATACAAAAAAATTAGCCGGGCGTGGTGGCGGGTGTCTGTAGTCCCAGTTACTCAGGAGGCTGAGGCAGGAGAATGGTGTGAACCCGGGAGGTGGAGCTTGCAGTGAGCCGAGATCCCACCACTGCACTCCAGCCTGGGTGACAGAGTGAGACTCCATCTCAAAAAACAAACAAACAAACAAAAAACAGAAAACAAAATTTGACAGGAAAAATAAAAAGTTTTCATAAGAGAAGTACTTAGCTTTTGAGGTGATATTACTAAGTAGAGAGTGATGTGAAACTCAGGACCATGTGTTGATCTGGCCTATTGTGTTCAAGCAAGTAGTCATTGAGCAAACATAAATGCAGTGTTTCCTAACTCTTTATTACTAGATAGTAAGTCAATTCTGGAAAAGCTGTGCAAATGGAGAATGTGATTAGGAATAATTTAAGGGATTCAGTTTAATCTACTTCAGTGTGGTTTCAAATAACCTATTCAATTCCCAGGAGATCCAAAGGAAGTCATTTTAGTGTAGCTGGCAAGGCAAGTTTCTGTATGTGTAAGTATATGGTCAAGAATTGCTTGGTTCTGGCCTCTAGTGAATCTCCCCAAAGAGGAGCTTGAGCAAGATAAAATGTGACCTCCAGAATGTTGTGCATAAAGCCACCGTATCAAATACCCTGTACTACCACTTCTCTGATCTCATTTTGACTTATACTTCAGGTAGGGTCATAATTGCCTAAAACTAAGTCACCCACACTAAAGGGACTAAGGTCCAAATACTTAACATATATTTTGTATTTAAGGCATGCTAATTCAAAGAGCATGTAGATACCTATTTATAATCCATCATTTCCATAAACCAAATGATGAAAATGTGGTCATTTAGAAATGTCATATTTAAATTCTTTAGATGTGATGTTTAGTAGTTTTTACCGTAATATAATTAAGGACCTCTGACATATAGACGCAAGTGACAGGAGGAAAAATCACATTGAGAATTCAATTGTAGATAGGTAGGTAAGAGCTGAGTTATTGCTATGTGGTTTCAGTGGGTAAGTGTCTTATGGAGTGCCTAAGTGGCATCCTTTTTTCTTATGTTCTTCTGCCTTCTATTTCATGTTTCTATATATTATTGATAAAGCCAGTGCTTTGTAGGATATAAACTATGGTTTAGGCTAGGCACGGTGGCTCATGCCTGTAATTCCCAGCACTTTAGGAGGCCCAGAAGGGCGGATCACCTGAGGTGAGGAGTATGAGACCAGCCTGGCCAACATGACGAAACCCCGTCTGTACTAAAAAATACAAAAAAGTTAGTCCCACGTGCCAGCGGGCCATCTCTACTAAAAAATACAAAAAAATTAGTCCCGCGTGGCAGCGGGTGCCTGTAATCCCAGCTACTTGGGAGGCTGAGGCAGGAGAATGGCTTGAACCCGGGAGGCGGAGGTTGCAGTGAGCCGAGGTCGCGCCACTTCACTCCAGCCTGGGAGATAAGAGTTAAACTCTCGTCTCCAGAAAACCAAACCAAAACAAAAACACTGTTTTAAGAGATAAATTACAGGTTTATTTAAGGCATAATAACAAATGTTGGACAACTGAAGATCTATGACTACATCTCAATCTGAAATTCACAAAAGTAAGGGCAGTATACATGACATTTCTCTGAGATGTGGTAAGCATCTCACAACTCTATTTCAAAACATACAAGCAAATGCATATTAAATATGCCACAATCTGGCCCACTTTAGGGACATAAGATATTTTATTTAAAAAGTATTATAAAAGTTAATTTTGAAGTTATATATAAAGAAATAAAAAGTCAAACATGACCTAGATTTCTGTGCCAAATATAGTGTTAATAAACATGAATAGTATTTGGGGAAAAAAAAAAGCTTAACATGATCTGAACTAAACATATTTTTCATTTGAGTCAAATATTCTGAGGCATTATTACAATTATTAGTCTAATATTTGAAGGGAAGGAGCTTCCAAACATAGTCTGCCCCAACTGGTAAAATGTCAATAGGTAACAGTACTCAGGTCATATGAAAATAAAATGGAAAAGGTCTTAAGTGTTCAGTTTCAGAAAATGTATTAGGTATACTGACAGCATCTTCTGCTTTGTGGAAAATTTCTTTGGAAGTTTATTACTGACTCTGTTTAAAAGATCACTTGAGAAAAAGTTATTTCAGTGTCCATTATTAAAATATGATAACAAAGGGTAGAGGGGATGGCAGAGAGAGATGAAAACTCTTGTAATTACCAACTACATAACTGTGATATACTAAACAAACCACTCTGTATTTCACATGTGGAAGCAAATTAGATTACAAATATCTTAGAATGTCATGAACTGTCTTTCATCTCTAGAACAGTACAACTATTTTAGGAGAAAGACTATATGAAAACAATTATGAATACAAAGCAATAAATTAGTTTTCATGATTCACTCAAGAAAATTAGTAGTAACATTATTCTGTAACTACCTTAGATTCAGATAATTTGAAATTATAGTCAAAAGATTGCCATTTGGAATAAGTTTCGTCACTGAAGAGAGGAACAAAATACTTTTTATCAAGTCAAGTACAGAAATACATTCTGGATTCTAATTCTCCCAGTACCTCACAATGCTACTGAGTGAAGGTGAGACGATTACATCATACTACGCTACAGGTAAGTGAGCTGCTGGCTTTTGACTTCTAATATGAAGCTCAACTGGTGATCATTATGTTCATTTTATATATCAAATGCTGCATAGAGTAATAAGGTTTTAAATTTATGTCTGTAAGATAATCATAATATGTAACAGTTCATATATTAATAAATACCTAATCTTAAAAATTACAGTAGGCCATTATTTGTGTTTGTGTTTATTTTTGTTTCATAAATTGAAGCATTCTGCTTTGAGGTTGAATATCTATAATAGCCATATTTAAAATGAAAAATAAAAACAGTTTTATCTTCACTTGTTAATGGGATCGCCTTGAAGGAAAGATGTTTTCAAACAAACCAATGTGATCTAGAATGTAAATTGGAAAAGATAATAAACCTACAACAAGCAACAACTTCACTAAATTAAATGAAATATGAATTCTTCAGAAAGTTTTCTTTACTATGTTCTGCCCTAAATGTTTTAGAGGTGATATTAGTAAATCTCACAGTTAAAGAAGAAACTTAATGTTTTATTTTTTTAAAGTTTCCTTATCTGTGATTCTATAAGGATTCACAAAGAAGCTCTGAAGTCAGACAGTGTTAATTTCAAATTGTGTTTGTGGGAATTGAGGCCTTAGGGGACAAAAGCGATTTTCTCTATATTCTCCAGCTACACAAGAGAAAGATCCAGAATGTTCCAAGTCTTCAAAGTCCCAGCACAGGGATCTTTCCCTGAAAACATATCTCATAACTTTCAGTCCCCAGATACTGGTTCATATTATCTATTGAACAATAATATATTTCATTCACAAAGAAAATGTTTGCATCATGATGCTATTTTCCATAATTTAAAAAACTACTTTACTGTAGATACTAATAAACATGTTAAGAAATCCCAACAGTTTACATGAAAATATAATTTATAGAGAAAGGAAAATATAATTAATTCTCAGGATTTTCAAATAGTCAAATTGTAACCAAATTTATTCAGGTTATTTGCATTTGAATCTATGTTAAGCCTAAAATCCCACCTGGCATGATTTCAGAGATTCAGAGAATCTCAGAGTTAGAAGGTACCATCAAAGGTTATCAGGTCTAACTGCCTTCCTAGCATTGATTATCAAATATCATGCACTCTAAATAGAAGGGCAGAGACAGCTATTCTGCAGCATAAACTGCAACTGTTCATTAATTTTAAAACTAGGAAGCATTACTTAAAAATGCAATGAGTAAATTATAATTCAGCATTCTGACTCATGCGCTAAAGGCTAGGTCTGAACATGAGTCACACCCCTGTGCCAACTGAAAGCCAATAGAAGGCTCCTAAACAGGAAGTTCAAAATTCAAAATGCAGTTCTGTATTAAACTGTCCTCAATCAATGTTTCAGATGTGGAAACAATTTCGAAGTTATACCTCTCTATGCAAACTGGAAAGAATATAAAATATATCCAATGTTCCATTTAGGAGCCATAGTTTGAGAGTAATTCAAGTCAAGATAATATAAAAGCCATTTATTTAACATGCACTATAAATTATAGATATGATAATGTTCTGGGACAAATAGCGTAAATGATACAAGTCCCTGTTTTCCTGAAATTTATTGTCTGGGAAAAAAAAATTTAAATAGAACATAAGTGTAACGTTTTAGAAAGATCATTTCCACACATAAGAAAAGCTGGTTGGAAATCTAGAGCAAGAGAAGTCTTTCCAGACAACAGCATCAGTGCAAAGGCCCTGAGAAGAAAAGAATCATGGTGTTTGGAGGAAGGAGGTCTTTTAGCTTGTTATGCTATGAAGGTGTAATAAGAAAATGGTGTTCCATAGCTCTGTTGTACCTACCTCTATACATACACTATAGGAAATGTTCTGCATTATGTTCATCCCACTTTTTAGACCCAGTGGTGGATGTAGTAAAAGAGGAATGGGCACCTGATTCCATTTCCGGAGAGCTGTGAGATTAATTTGCTAGAGTACTCAGGTAACACACTTTCCAGGCTATAGAATAGTTAACATTTAAAGAAAGCGTTCATCTGCAGGCAGCCATTTACAGCACTTACAGCGTACATTGAAGCTGGCAACACAACTATGACTACTCCTCCTTAAAACCTCATAAAACCCCCTTTTCAAAGAGATTTATGAATAATGTGAATTAAATAATTCATGGGACTGCAGATGCCAGTCCAAATAGCCTCTTCTTTTTTAAGGTTTCAGTTTGTAGAACTGTGATCAAAAGCCTCCATCAGTCATGATAGGAGCATTTGTCCTCACTCCAAACAAACCATATTTGCATGTGAATGTTTTTCATTGAAATGAGATATATAATATGCCAGCCAAGGCCCAACTAAAAGGCATTTTATGCCATTTAAATTCAGTCACATTAAAGGCTGAATGCAACCTAAAAGGTCTGCTCTCAGAACAGTAATTTGACACATCATAAATAAGAACCATTTTTGTTAGTGTAGGTTCAGCACTTGTCAGAAAATTGTACACAGCCATATTAACAAAGCACTGCCTCTTAGAGAGAAATAAACTATAAGGAAAATCTTGTATGTAACGCAACAAAACACACAAACAACAGTGTAATATGGTGTCACTAGTTCGAAGTTGACATTTTTCACTGACATTTACAGAAAAAGATAGATAGCAGTTTAGCCTGCTTAAATGCCAAGATAAATTGTTAAAAACAAATTTTTGTTTAAATTTTAAACTAAAACCCATGTTTAGAAATAGGTTAATACATTGATTTAACTCATTAACTTAATTCTTGGTTTTGGAAGCATTGGTGACGTTTTCAACTTAAAAGCCAAGTTGAAAAATATTCAGTGTTTGAAAAGTTTATAACATGTGTTTAGAGATCTGAGTTATTTGGGGACCTAAATTTTCACTAACGATAATAAACAGATTTTATTACTAATTTCCTAGTTCTCACTGACTAAAAGAGAATATTATTGGGTAATAAATACTGAGATAATTTTACATGAAAATTAATCATTGTATCAGGCAAAAGCCTAGAGAGAGGGCTGTGGTTTTTTTTTTTAAAAAAGCAAAGAAATAAACAATCTGTTTAACAAACCCATAATCTGAACTGTCCCACACATACAACCTTTTTAAAAAATATTCTTCCACGTGCAACCTTTGTGTATATTTCAGGCAGGTCACTCTTACCCCACAAACATCAAGTTCATTGTCACTTAGTTCTGTGTCCTCAATAACATTAAGAAAAACACCAGAGTGTTGTATAGTCAATGTTAAATAAAAGCCAAAACTGGAATGTGCAGAAAATAGGCTTTGGTTAATTTGTGGATTCATTTTTATTTTTGTCTTTGTTTAACTTTTTAAAAAATAAGATTTCTGGAGTAGATTGGTATATTATGTTAAAGACTTACAGTGATCCATTTTGCTTACACTGTTGCATCACAAGGGATTCACCTAGGGACCATGACCTGCTGGTGAGTGTGTATATTTACAAAACAAAACAAGCAAACCACCCATTAGGATATAAGGTAGCAATCACAAACTAAAGACTGCGGCTTGTTGAGGTGCAATACCCTGACTCCCAAAGTTAGTTACAGTGGGTTTTATTGTTTTTGTGATTGAAGGATTTTTTCAGACTGCTGTACTCTTCATTTGATGTAACAAAATGCTATTAATCTAAATATTTGTAAATAAAGTACCTGTATCTAGATTAAATTAAAAAAAAGAAAAACATAGTAAGATTATACTTTCACAATGAAATGTCATTATGGTGACTGTAAAAGGTAATTTTATTTATTTTAGTATCTACATTCTTCCTAGGTACTAAAAAGATTTGACATGTTTACAGCATAAGAAATATATTAAACCATAGGTATTTTACAGAAAGATATCTAGACATCAGATATCACCATCCAAATTCCGTTCCTACGCTTAGTCAATTCTCTGAAATTCTAAAGACAGAGAAACTCCTATAACTATCTCATCCCCTTACTAACAAGTAGAAGGAGCACTAAAATTTCAAGAGTTTATTTTCCTGACTTACCTTTTGTAAAATAGATAAGCTCTCCAAAAAGCCTTTCACATCTGGTAATGGTAATGCTTATAATATATTCCACATGGTGGGAAGTATTGGCAAGTAAGAGGAAAATGTGGATCACTGTAATTTTAAATCTAATTCTTTTCAAGTACATGCTGTTAGAAAGATTAAAATTTAGACGGAAGGAAATCTTATACTTAAAAAGGCAAATCATACTGATATATATTTTTAAAGATGCTAAACTAAAGGGAAGATGTATTTTCGATTGACAAAAATTGTGAGAAAATGTACAGGTTTGGGTGTCTCCAAGAGAAAGTTGACGTGTTTTTACATCACTACTTAAATTCATCCATATAATCTCAAAATGTGCCTTCCTGTTTTCTGGGAATATAGATTTTTCAGTGCAGATGTACTATTCTGTTTAAGAAAAAGCAATTAAACAAGAATGTTATTAAATAAAAAGAAATACAGACATATAATGAGATAGTAATTTTTAACTTTATGAAAATGTCCTGGCTACATAAAATATATTTCCCAATGACTATTTTACAAAAAAAAAAAAAAAAAGATACAATGATATAGTCTTCCTAGAAAACTAGCACTGGGAAGTCCTAGAAAATAGTGGTAATCTACAAAAAGGAATTTATGAAAGCTAAGAAACTCATATTAGACAAATCAGTTTTACATCCTAACTACAGAGAAGTAGCAATTCCACAAATTCATAAAAAATTCTATTATTTGATCTTATCACTTTAGTAGTAGATATTTGGTAAAGAATCATAGATAATATAATTAAATATTAATATAAAACATATACAGTATAAAGTAAGGTTGGGCTTGGTGGCTCATGCCTGTAGTCCCAGCTACTTGGGAGGCTGAAGCAGAAAGATCTCTTGAGCCCGGGAGGCTGAGGTTGCAGTGAGCCATGATTTCGCCACTGCACTCCAGCCTGGGTGACAGAGTGAAAGCTAGTCTCAAAAATTAAAAATAATAATAAGGTACACTTATACTTGTATAGGTACACATTCAGATACATATGCATAATTATATTTGTACCATTCTAAAAATCAGTCTCCTCCAGAATATATTGGATAGGACAATTATTAAAACCCCTTTTTCTTTATTCTTATTTAACAAATAATGAGTACATTTTAATGGGGTTCAAGTTTTCATCATGGAAAAAACAAGAAATAAGCAATGACTTTTTGCTTATTATTTTGATGATACAGATTTTGTTCTCTCCTTCTACCAACTTATAAATTGCTTATTCAGTTATTGAGAAATGTATATTTTTTCATATTTCAGTTAGAGCTGTCATCAGTTCTGAGGCAGATGCATTCACATGTAAATAATCATCATAAACAAGTCAATATAGAATAAATATCTAATATGCTAGGGAAATTAGGACAATTCTGATACAAAGGTACCAACTTTATTGGAAAACACCAAGAAATGGCCTGTGGCAGAAAAACATAATGTATCATTAGGAATGTGAATGTTAAGGAGAGGAAGCCAAGGGGCGGGGATATAGCAACATATATTGCAAGCAGACATCGACAAGGGCAGATGTAGAAAAATGATTATCAACTTTAGACCCCTAGAGCAACATGAATGAAATCACATCCTTGTGTTCTGGGAAATAAAACAGGCAAATTGGATAGAAATAAAGAGAGGCTTTAATTATCTAAAAGTAAATTGGGAGCAACCCATGATAATACTGAAGTGGGGTTATTATAGAACACAATGTAGAGTTAATTCAGAAATCACTTTGTTCAAAAACATCAACAGCTGGTTTTAATAATAGACACAATGAATCAGAAATGAATAAAACCTTGAGATGGAAGATTATCTGAGCAATTCTAATCATATTATTAGATTTACTAAGGAAAATAAAATGACAAATAATCTATAAAAGTAACTTATTTCTACGAATATAGTTTTGAGAAACATTTTTTAAGAGATAAATCTGAGGTCATACTAAATGTTAGTGTACCTATTTCACAGACACATTTTCTAGGTTTGATGCCACAATGAGCAAGTTATATGAGTGAGAAGGACTTCGCTGCAGATAATGAAAGGAATACACTACAAAAAATATTAAACGGTGAGGGGGAAAATCCATATGTAAGAGGAGAATAATTTTTCAGAATTTAAAGTAGACTCCAATTAACTTCTTTTTTCTTAGGCCTTTTGAATGTGAAGTTTTGTGTGTCACCACTGGACTTCTAAGCCTGTTAAACTCAAAAATGGCAGAAGGTTATGTAGAACAAATTCTAGTTAAATGTCCCAGCATGTGGAGTTCAGGAAAATACATAATGAAGGCCCACAGAACTTATAATTAGGAGCCAAATCCTGTATGTATATTACAGATTGAGGAATCATGATGGAAACAATAGATTTGCAGGAATACATTCTCAACAGATGATCTACATACTTTTATTAAAATTGTCTATACAGTGTGTATTGTCATGTTCATTTACCCAGTCTACTCACTATAAGCATTCAATATCACATATAGGACAGCAATCCTCATCATTTACTAATGTGAACTTGAACAAGGTATGCCATGTCTCTGTGCTTTAAATCTCTAATAAGAGAAAGACAGTAACAGTACCTGACTTGTAGAATTACAATGAAAATGTTAATGAATCAATGTACATAAAGCACTTGGGAGAGAGTCCCAAGTCATCACATACAAAACGTCCTTGCTTATTTCTTTTTTTTTTTTTCATGATGAAAACTTGAACCCCATTATAATTTACTCATTATTTGTTAAATAAGAATGAAAAGAAGGGGGCGGGATGCACTGGCTCACACCTGTGATCCCAGCACTTTGGGAGGCCCAGACGGGTGGATCACAAGGTCAGGAGATCGAGACCATCCAGGCTAACCAGGCAAAACCCCGTCTCTATTTAAAAAAAAAAAAAAAAAAAATTTAGCCAGGCGTGGTGGTGGGCACCTATAGTCCCAGCTACTTGGGAGGTTTAGGCAGTAGGATGGCGTGAACCCGGGAGGCGGAGCTTGCAGTGAGCCAAGATCGTGCCACTGCACTCCAGCCTGGACGACAGAGCGAGACTCCATCAAAAAAAAAAAATAATAATAATAATAAATAAATAAAGAGAAGGGGGTTTAAATAATTGCCCTATTCAATATATTCTGGAGGAGATTGATTTTTTAATGGTATAAATATAATTATGCATATGTATCTGAATGTGTACCTATACAAGTATAGGTATACCTTAGTTTTTTTAAGGTGCTATAGCCTAAATATTTATGTTCCCACAAAACTCATATGTTGAAATCCTAAACCACACTGTGATGATGTTAGGAGGTGGAAACTTTAGAAGGTCATTAGGTTATGAGGTAGAGCCCTCATGAACAGAATTAGTGCCCTTATAAAAAGACAGTAGAGAGCTTGCTTTCTCTATGTCTTCTCTGTGCCATGTGATGATACAGAGAGAAAAGTGGTCATCCATAACCAGGATGAGGGCTTTCACCAAGAACCAGCCCATGATGGCATACTGAATTTGGTCTTCCAGCTTCCTGAACTGTGAGAAACAAATGTTTGCTGTTTAAGACACCCAGTTTTTTGTACTCTGTTACAGCAGCCTGAGCTAAGACATAAGAACACAGAAACTGCTATTTTTACTGTCCCATTTATCGTCTTGCATAGAAATTATCTGTTTCCTTGCTGTCTGCTCTTTGAGGGCTTAGTTTTCTCTGCTCTCTGTTGGGGACCCATAACATACAGAAGTTGTCATGTAGTAGGCACTAAGGATGTTGTTAGAGATTTTTAGTAAACAAAAAATCAAACACTTGAATCAGGCACTGCCCTTAACTCTGAAGAAACAGACCATGAAAAGAACAGTATTGAGTCATCTAAGGTGCAGTTTTGATGAGTGGATATTCTGGGACTTGAGCTTTATAAAAAGCAAGTTGACTAATTACAGAGCAAAAAAATATTAAAAACTCTGAATCAATGTTGCAGAGCAAGACTGGCCAGCAGAATGTTTTTCATGAGGTAGATGTAGAAGGGGTTCAGGAAACACTTCAGTACATTTTGAAAGACACTGTTTTGCTACTTAGCATAGTAGAAGATGGTATGGGGGTGAGACATGAGGATTCTGGCCAGTTCAGTTCCTGTTGAATGTGAATAAAGACAGATTTAGGAAAACAAACAAAAACATTGAATTATGCTAAGTTTCCGTCTCATTCCTCAATTTTCCTTTTCAACCACTTAAACCCTTATCTCTTATTTAAGTCAGCTCTTTCTCTCCTCCTGTCTAGGAACCTGGTAACTAGGTTTTATGTTTAATTAATTGGGCAATAAAACATCTCAAAAACTGAGATTTGAGAATTTCATAGTATTTGGAACCTTGGACTTTTTTTTCTTTTTGATATTGCACCTACTGGGAACCTGCCCCACTCTACGGTTATGATCCTTCACTCCATTAGAAAACAGAAAACATGTTTATAAATCATTTGCCCTTGTGAGGATGAGCTAATTATTCTCTTAGTGTGAATGGATTTCAGACATTTTATTATGTATACCAGCTGTGTACATATAAGACTTTATCTCTATGCAATGGTTCTCTTTGACCTCATTAAAAGAATACTAATCATCAAGAAGTAGAGTGGAAAAAAGAGTGAGACAGGGAAAGCAGTCCTGATTTTCCCTGTTCAGAGTGCTGATCCTGCTAATCACCTGAATGGCATTTAGCTCTTTGGGGTTTGAGGGAAGAACTCTATAACAAAAGTTTCTTGTGACCTTCTTCCTGCCTTTTCACTTGAATGAAAACTGTATCACATTTTTGACAGTAAGTATAATCTCAATATTTTATATTTTTGTCTTGAAAACATACATATAATTTATATATTTGTCTACATGTGTGTATGTGTATTAATATATGTGTGTTTGTGTGCATTTCTACCAAAAATCCCAGATACGATGGTAAATCTACTAGCAGTGAGCACCCTAGTTTCATAGTTGACATCTCTAAATAAATTTCCATTGAAAGGAGCAGGAAATGCAAAGTCCAGAAAGAAGTGAAGTCATAAACATTTAGTAGTGTCATGTCAAAAGAACTGAAGAGGTTCACTGATTAAATATGAGATCATTTGACTAATTACTCCAATGGATTAACACTCATGAAGTATGCTGAAAGTCATGAGCAAATATGGATACTGAAAACAAGCAAGTAAACACATAAGCAAACAAAAGCATCTTTTTTCCTCTTCGGGAGATTTCAAGAAATAAACTGATTTTTGGAAAATTCATGAAAAAAATAAAGTTATCATACCTTACCTACATGAACAATACTTCAGATATACAAATCATTGATGAAACATATTTTCTTGTTATACGAATATCTAAGCTAATAAATAGAGACAATGATAGAATATCACAGTTTGCTTCTAAAGCAAAAACATTTCTATAGACATTGAAAAGATGAAACCTGATTGACAAATGAGTTGATAATAATAGCAAGGTAATGAAAATATGAGGGTTCATGTTGAACCTTTTCACAATCATTTTTTAAGCCTTCTAGCTGTGGACTAGATAGATAGGACAAAGAATGACAGAGAGGAGCTGAAAAAGAACCATCTAATAAGAACCAGCTGTACAAATTTGAGGGAGGAAAAGGAAAAAAAATAAAAAAAGAATTGGTGCCAAGGGTAAATCAACTGCCTCCCTGACAGTTACCCTGAGTTGTTAGGAGATTTGGGGTAAGGGTCTTTGAATGTGAAAGAAAAAACAAATACAAGAAAAAGAAAGAAATGACTGTGAGGCTGCAGAAGAATTTCAAGAATAAAAGCATGCTTGTTAAAGCAGGCAGGTAGCACAGCCCTATGCTACCTACAGCATAAGGTAAGAATTACACTTTCCCATCATCAGTTGTACTAAATTAGAGATAAGATTTTCTATCTATCTATCTATCAACTATCTATCTATCTATCTATCTATCTATCTATCTATCTATCTATCTATGTCTATCTATCTACATCTATCTTTATTTCTTCTTTCTTTTTCTTTCTTCCTTTTTCTTTATATCTATCTATCTATCTATCTATCTATCTATCTATCTATCTATCTATCTATCTTTTACAACAGACACATTTACCAATTTATACCAGTGAAAGAGGTTTGAATAGTGGCAATATATGCAAAGGAAATGCATAAAGAAAGTAGAGAGCATCTTTTCTATGGCCTCATTCTGGGTCCTGGTAAAATTTACCAGTTTAGAAGCTGATATGCAGAGACATCTAGGAAAATGACTGAAAAAGTTGGTAAATATGTAGAATCTATGAAATGATGGCACAAAAGGGAATGCTATATGTGTATGAGTTTGGTGATTCTAAACCATGGCTGCAAATTCTTTGCCACTCCTCAAAGGCTTTGACACTCTTTTAAGCCTTCCATTGTGGACTAGACAGACAGGACAAAGGTAAGAATGAGAGCAAGGAGCCGGAAAAAAAAAATACAGCCTAATAAGAGCATATTGCTGGGTCCTTGTCCACTTCCTTTAAATCTGGACAAGTATGTGACATCTACCAAGGTAAAGTACTCAAAGAAGATGCCACATTACTTCTGAGGCTAGTGATATGGTTTGGATCTGTGTCCCTACCCAAATCTCATGTTGTAATGTAATCCCAGTGCTGGAGGTGGGGCCTGGTAGGAGGTTATTGGATCACAGGTGCAGTTTCTAATGGTTTAGCACCATCACTTTGGTGCTGTTTTCATGATAGAGTTCTTAAGAGATCTGGTTGTTCTAAAGTGTGCAGTACCTCCCCTCTTATCTCTTCTTCCTGCTCCACCATGTGAAGTGGCAGCTCCCCCTTTGCTTTCTGCCATGATTCTAAGTTTCCCGAGGCCTCCATTGAAGTAGAAGCCACTTCCTGTATACCCTGCAGAACCATGGGACAATTAAGTTTCTTTACTTTTTAAATTACTCAGTCTCAGGTAATATTTTTTATTGCAATGTGAGAGTAGACTAATACAGAAAAAATGTTACTGAGAAGTGGGTAATTGCTCTAAAGATATCCGAAATTGTGAACTTTGGAAGTGGGTACAGGCAGAGGTTGGAAAACCTTGGAGAGCTCAGAAGAAGAGAGGAAGATGAGGGAAAATTTTGAACTTCTTAGAGACTTGTTAAGTTGTTATGACCAAAATGCTGATAGTGATATGGACAATAAAGTCTTGACTAATGAGATCTCAAATGGAAATGAGGAACTTATTTGGAACTGGAGTAAATGTCAGTTTCAATACATTTTAGCAAAGAAGCTGGTGGCATTGTGCCCAACCCTAAGGATCTATGGAACTTTAAACTTGAGAGTAATAATTTAGGGTATCTGGCAGAATAAATTTTTAAACAGCAAAGCTTTCAAGATGTGTCCTGAATGCTTCTAATACCTTATGCTCATATGTATGAGCAAAGAAATAAAGTAAAACTAGAACTTATATATTTTATTTACTTTTTAATATTTTAAGTTTTGGGGTACATATGCAGAATGTACAATTTTGTTACATAGGCATACACATGCCATGGTGGTTTGCTGCACCCATCAACCCGTCACCTACATTAGGTATTTCTCCTAATGATATCCCTCCCCTAGTCCCCCATCCCCTGACAGGCCCTTGTGTGTAATATTCCCCTCCCTGTGTCCATGTGTTCTCATTGTTCAACTCCCATTTATGAGTGAGAACATGCAGTGTTTGGTTTTTTGTTTTTGCGATAGTTTGCTGAGAATGATGCTTTCCAGCTTCATCCATGTCCCTGCAAAGGAAATGAACTCATTCTTTTTTATGGCTGCATAGTATTCCATAGTGTCTGTGTGCCACATTTTCTTTATCCAGTCTATCACTGATGGATGTTTGGGTTGGTTCCAAGTCTTTGCTTTTGTGAATAGTGCCACTGTAAACATACGTGTGCATGTGTCTTTATAGTAGATTGATTTATAATCCTTTGGGTATATAGCCAGTAATGGGATTGCTGGGTCAAATGGTATTTCTAGTAAAACTAGAACTAATATTTAAAGGATAAGCAGAGCATAAAAATTTGAAAAATTTGCAGCCTGCCCATTTGATAGAAAAGAAAAGCCCATTTTCATGGGAGGAATTCAAGCAGGCTACATAAATTTGCATAAGTAAAAAGGAGTCAAATGCTAATAGCACAGAAAATGGGGGAAAGGCCTAAAGGCATTTTGGATATCTTCCTGGCTGTCCCTTCCATCACAGGCCTGGAGGCCTAGGGGGGAAAAATGGTTTCATGGGCCAGGCCCAGGACTCTACTGCTCTGTGGAGCATTGGGACAATGCTCCCTGCATCCCAGCTGCTCTAGCTTCAGCTTTGGCTCAAAGAGGCCCAGGTAAAGCTCAGGCCACTGCCTCAGAGAGTGCAAACCATAAGCCCTGGCAGCTTCCATGTGGTGAAAAGCCTGTGGGTAAACAGAATGCAAGAGTTGAGGCTTGGGATCCTCCACCTAGATGTCTTAGGATTTATGGAAAAGCCTAAATGTCTAAGCAGAAGCCTGCTTCAGGGGCAGAGACCTCACGGGGAATCTCTACTAGGGCAGTGTGGAGAGGAAATGTGGGGTTGGAGCCCCACACAGAATCCCCATTATGGCACTATCTAGTGGAGCTGTGAGAAGGGGGCCGCCATCCTCCAGGTCCTAGAGTGGTAAGCCCTGTACCTGGAAAGCCACAGACACTCAACATCAGCTCTTGAGAGCAGCTGTGGAGGCCAAACCCTGCAAAGTCACAGGGGCAGAGCTGTCCAAGGCTTTGGGAGCCCATCCCTTGCACCAGCGTGTCATGGATGTGGGACATGGAGTCAAAGGAGATTATTTTGGAGATTAAAGTTTAATCACTGTCCTCCCAGGCTTTGGATTTACATGAGCCTGTAACCCCTTTGTTTTGGCTGATTTCTCCCTTTCAGAAAGGAGTATTTACCCAATGCCTGTACCCCATTGTAGCTTGGGAGTAACTAACTTGTTTTTTATTTTACAAGCTCATAGGCAGAAGGGGCTAGCCTTGTCTCAGACAGGACATTGGACTGTGGACCTTTGAGTTAATGTTGAAATGAGTTAAGACTTTTGGGGACTGTTGGGAAGGCATGGTTGTACTTTCCAGTATGAAAATGACATGAGATTTGGGAGGGACCAGGAGGGGCTAGGAATGATATGGTTTGAATCTGTGTCCACACCCAAATCTCATGTAATTCCCTGTGCTGAAGGTAGAGCATGGTAGGAGGTGATGGGATCACGGGAGCAGTTTCTAATGGTTTAGCACCATCCTTTTAGTGCTGTTCTCATGGTAGAGTTCTCATAAGATCTGGCTGTTTAAAAATGTGTGGCAACTTCCCACCCCACCTCTCCTTCTCCTGCCCCACCATGTGAAGTGGCAGTTCCCCCTTTGCCTTCTCCTATGATTGTAAGTTTCCTGAGGCTTCCCCAGAAGCAGAAGCCACTATGCTTCCTATACAGCCTGCAGAACAATGAGCCAATTACAGCTCTTTTCTTTATAAATTACCCAGTCTCACGTATTTCTTTATAGCAATGAAAAAAGTGGACTAACACAGCTAGAAATACCATATAGCTTCCACCTTGCTTATGGGAAAAATTCTTCTTGAAAACCTGAGACTTCACATAAGAAGTCTGACTACTTGATGTTATCTCGCTGTAGAGGTCCTGATGCACTGGACATGTCAATTGTGAGTGAAACTTCCTTGGACCAGCCCCTCTGACAGCTGACTATCAGTAGGTGATTTCAACTGATGCCATAAGAAGCAGAATTGTCCAGCAGTTAACTGCCTAAATTTCTGAACCTCAAAATCTTGAGGTATAGTAAAATAGCTATTACTTTAAGCTACCAAGTTTTGTGGTACACAACTAGACTATGAGAGATCACAAGATCTGATGAGAAAGAATGATGAATCAAATGTGTCTTAAGTTGATCTTTAAGTTATTATTGAATGAGTAAATAACCAATACAAAAAATGCTTGGGTAAATGCAGCTCTCCAATGCTTCCTTATTTCCCCAGCAAAACACACACACTAAGTTCAATGACTGCTGCATGGTAGAAAAGCAAATAAATCACCGTATCCCTGTTTTTCCCGCTTACATAAGTGTTATAATTTTGAGCCATATAAAATAATATACATGTACATAAATCTGTTATATTCTATAATAATCAAGAGGAATACACCAGCAATCCAAGAAATGGAACACTGTCAATAATTTGTGTCTTCCCACATGCTTTTCACATATTCCATGTCCCAATCTCCCTGTCTTTTATGCCATTAGAGAAAGGGGAAGACCATGTAAATATCTATTTACTACCACACCAACAAATAATCACTTTATAGCATCCAGAATCATACAGTTTATAATCTACATTTAAGAAGTACAACAAAAACATATTTTTTCTTTACCTTTATTCATTGTTTTTGTGTATCATTTTACAAATATTCAAAAATAGGTCATTTGTTTTACTGTTACTAATATTCAATTAAGAGAAGAAAATAAATTGGGATTGGATTATTTTGACAATATTGTATATCTACTTCAACAGGGTAACTGGCGTTTTCAGGATTCAAAGCTACACAATCATTATATGGTTATCTAGCTGCATGTCACTTTATATATCTGTCAGCTAAATCACATATATAAATACAACATCTAGCATTTGGGAATATTATGTGGATTCATGACACTTCCTGAAAGAATCTGAATCTAGAAAATTATGAATGAATTACAAGCAGAAAAATACATTGTTTTCATCTGTGATAGATATAATCTACCTGTTCTATGTGCAGAGTAGCTAACTGAAGCTGCCATATATATATATGCCATATATATATATGGCATATATATATATGGCATATATATATATAATTAAGACAGTAGGGTAGTGCTATGGCAATATGAAGCTCTATGAAGTTTAGTTAGTGTTTCAAACATCCAACTTGTAATATAGTCACAAAGACTTAAATAGTACTGCTCTATTTATGAAAATATTTTCTAAAGATGAAACACTATAAGGTAAAATCTATTTTCTTAGTTTTTAGAATTTGATGACATATTTTTGGACATATAGTCAAGATTTTTTGGCCACCCTGGCTATCACCTGGTACTTATGTGACACTGTAGCCCAATACTAACAGACACAAAATGTTGTAATTCTTATCTATAATAATGTCTTAGTAGATACCAAGCCTATTATTATAAGCCCAAAGACAACTCTAAGAATACATTTTTAACTTTTAATAAAAATAAAGAAAAAATGTACTGACCTCCTAATAAAAATATTTCACAAGTAAATATTAACTACTAAGAATTTTCATTACTAACAAAGGGGAAAACTACATGTATCTAACAAATATTTATAACCGACTAATCTTCAACAAGGCAGACAAAAACATACACCGGGGAAAAGATAATCCTATTCGATAAATGGTCCTGGGAAAATTGGATAGCCATATGCAGAAGAATGAAACCAAGCCCCTATCTCTCATCATATACAAAAATTAACTCAAGGTGGATTAAAGACTTAAATGTAAGACCTGGAAGCATAAAAATTCTAGAAAAAAAACTTAGGAGAAACTTGTCTGGACATTGGCCTAGGCAAAGAAATTCTAACTAGGAACACAAAAGCAAATATAATCAAAATAACAATAAATAAATGGGACTTAATTAAACTAAAAAGTTTCTGCACAGAAAAAGAAATAATCAACAGAGTAAACAGATAACAAGTGGATTGGGAGAAAATATTTGCAAACTATTTATTCAACCAAGGACTAATATCCCAAATCTACAAGAAACTCAAACAAATCAGTGAGAAAAAACCAAATAATTCCATTAAAAAGTAGGCAAACAACATGAACATTTCTCAAAAAAGATATACAAATGGAAAATAAACATATGAAAAATGCTAAACATTGCTAATCATCAGGGAAATGCAAACCTAATATACACACTTAATATAAACACAATTATATAATATCTTACTCTAGTCAGAATGGCTATTACTAAAAAGAAAAAAAATTGATGTTGGCATTGTGCTGTGAACAGGGAATGCTTATACGCTGCTGGTTGATTGTAAATTAGTACAGCCTCTATGGAAAACAATATGGAGATTTCTCAAAGAACTAAAATAGATCTACCATTCTATCCAGAAATCCCACTACGGGGTATCTACCCAAAGTGAAAAAAGTCATTACATCAAAAAGACACTTGCAAGTGTATGCTTATCGCAGTACAATTTACAATTGCAAAGATACAGAATCAGCCTAAGTTCCCATCAACTTTTGGATGGATAAAGAAAATGTAGTATGTATGTAAGTGTGTTTGTGTGCGTGTGTGTGTGTGTGTGTACGTACCCGTATATATATGTGTATATATATATATGAATATTACTTAACAATTAAAATGAATAAAATAATATCTCTTGCAGCAAATTGGATGGAACTGGAGGCCATTATCCTAAGTGAACATTATCCTAAGTAAAGTAACTCAGGAATGGAAAACCAAATAACACATTTTCTCACTTATAAGTGAGAGCTAAACTACGGGTAAGCAAGGGCATACAAAGGTATAATGGACATTGGAGACTCAGATGGGGGAAGAAGGGTAGGAGGTGGGAATAGAAAATCACCTATTGGGTACAATGTACACTATTTGGGTGATGGGTACACTAAAAGCCCGAATTTCATGACTATACAATTCATCCATGTAAGCAGGAACCACTTGTATCCCTAAAGATATTGAAATAAAATAAATCCAAATTATTCACATTTTATGACAACAAAAATCTTCAACATGAAACAATAAATATTTAAGTCATTATTTTAACATTCTTGGGAGTGGATCATGGTGTATCTGATACTATGGGAATAAAACAATGAAAAACACGAGACATTAGAGGAGGTTACATTCTAAAAGAGAAAGTCAAGGGAAGTGGCAGAAAATTTTCCTTTTAGAGCCAATTAGTTATCATTGCATGTATCTTTTATTTTTTTTATTTTATTTTTTTTAGAGATAGGATCTCACTGTGTTGCCAAGGCTGGATTTGATTTGAACTTCTGGGGATTCTTCTGTCTCAGACTCCCAAGTTACTGGGACAATAAACGTGTGCCACCATGTCTATATTCCATGCATCTTAGGATTTTTGTAATTGAAATAACTATGGAAACGATTAAGCACTCCATTGACTCAGTGAAGACACAATCCACGCCCCTAATCTTTAAAATCCCAGGGGCAGCTGGGAGTGTGTCTGGAGTATAGATGGTGTTCAATAAATATTTAATTAAATGATCAAATGAAGAAAAGTATGAATAAATATTTATAAATTGCATTTTAGTGTCTATCAATATATTCATATTGCATATTTTAAAATATATACACTGTATCAGCCATCTGGGGCTGCCATAGCAAAATACCACACACTGGGTGGGTTAAAAAGCAAACATTTATTTTCTCATAGTTCTGGAGTCTGGAAGTCCAAGATTCAGGTACTGGAAGGGTAAGTTCTGCTGAGTTCTCTCTCCCTAAATAGCAGATGTCCATCTTCTGGCTGTGTTTTACATGGCCTTTTCTCTGTGTGTATTGGTGTCCCTTCCTCTTACAAGGAAGTCCTATTCCATTAGGCTCCCATCCTTATGATTTCATTTAATCTTAATTTCCTCCTAAAGGTCCTATCTCCAAATACAGTCACATCAAAGATGTCAACATATGAATGGGAGGTAGGGGTAGAATTCAGTCTGTTAACACACACTTACTTGTTTGTTGTATTTTTATTTTAACTCACTGTTGCTGTTGCTGTCATCACAAAAGATGATAAAGAAAAACTGTCCCTTGGTCTGAAGTAAAAAGGAGTAGATATCTTTAAAAAGTGCTAAAAAGTCAAAGGGATATTAAAAATAAAAATATCCTGAAATTTCACAAAACTACCAAAAGTCGGTCATTCCATTCTATTCTTTATATGCATTTTTCAAAAAATATACATGTATTATTTTCTTCTGATTTTTCTTTTCTTTTCTTTTTTTTTTCTTTTTTCTTTTTTTTTTTTTAGAGGGAGTCTTGCTCTGTAGCCCAGGCTGGAGTACAGTGGTGCGATCTTGGCTCACTGCAACCTCTGCCTCCCGGGTTCAAGTGATTCCCCTGCCTCAGCCTCCCGAGTAGCTAGGAGTATAGGTTTGCACCACCACACCTGGCTAATTTTTTTTTTTTTTTTTTTTTTTGGTAGATACGTGGTTTTACCATGTTGGCCATGATGGTCTCGACCTCCTGCCCTCGTGATCCACCTGCCTCGGCATCCCAAAGTGCTGGGATTACAGGCGTGAGCCACTGTGCCCAGCCTCCTTCTGATTTTTTCTTTTCTTTTTTTTTTTTTTTTTTGCTCTTTCGCCGAGGCAGGACTGCAGTGGCACTATCTCGGCTCACTGCAAGCTCCGCCTCCCGGGTTCACGCCATTCTTCTGCCTCAGCCTCCAGAGTTGCTGGGACTACAGGCGCCCGCCACTGCGCCCGGCTAATTTTTTGTATTTTTAGTAGAGACGGGGTTTCACCCTGTTAGCCAGGATGGTCTCGATCTCCTGACCTCCTGATCTGCCTGCCTCGGCCTCCCAAAGTGCTAAGATTACAGGCGTGAGCCACCACGCCAGGCCTCTTTTCTTTCTTTCTTCATTCCTTCCTTCCTTCCTTGTTTTTTGTTTCTTGTTTTTGAGTCTGGCTCTGTTGCCAGGCTGGAGTGCAGTGGCGCAATCTAGACTCACTGCAACCTTCTCTTCCCGGGTTCATGCCATTCTCCTGCCTCAGCCTCCTGAGTAGCTGGGACTACAGGTGCATGCCACCACGCCCGGCTAATTTTTGTATTTTTAGTAGAGACGGAGTTTCACCATGTTGGCTAGGATGGTTACCATGTTGGCTAGGATGGTTTCCATCTCTTGATCTAGTGATCCGCCCGCCTCAGCCTCACAAAGCGCTGGGATTACAGGCATGAACCACTCCGCCCGGCCTCCTTCTGATTTTTCTTTCTTTGGAGTTCAGAACAACCAGTGAAGTATGTGGGAGAAGAAATTTGAGAGGTATCCTCTAATTCTGAGTCATCAAAATAAGCTTAATGAGCTTTCTTTGTGGAAAATAAGAATTGGATAAGTGTTGAAGTAGGGCTACACGCTAAATATTTCTTATGTGATAAAAAAATTATAATGACCTCTAGTCTTTGAAACAGAGAATAACTGGTGATGAGTAACCAGGGAGTAAGTTCTTTCAGTCACAATCATGTAGAAACAAAGTGCCTTAGATTAAGTGATAGTTAAATTGATAATTTTAGCAGACCAAACTTCAAAATACAAAATTCAGTAAGGTAAACGAATTATTAAAACTATAGGAAAAGTTAATTAAAATTCAAGGGCTGAAGGTTAAAACATTAAAATATATCCTAAAAATTATAACATGCTCACTACCAATATTTTCTTCACCTAGCTACATGACACCTAGCTACATGACTTTCTTTCTTTTCTGTAGTGGCTTAAACAACTTCTTTTATTATTATAAAAACAAGATTCCATAAAACTTGCGACGCAAATATTCTTAATATATACGGATTTGCTAGGTCCTGTGAAACGTGTGCACTGCATAAGGGCTTGTAGGCCAGAAATTCAGCCTACCCTGATCAGTCAAAACATGGTCCTGGTACTGGGCTATGGTGAGGCTAATGAAGGCTCAACTTTTCTATTCCCAAAGCCACAATCCTTTAGCAAAACTCTACACCCAGTAGCCTGTACTTTCTCAGGAGAGAGGCAGTATCTCTTTTTTTAATTTAATTTTATTTTTTAATTATACTTTAAGTTTTAGGGTACATGTGCACATTGTGCAGGTTTGTTACATATGTATACATGTGCCATGTTGGTGTGCTGCACCCATTAACTCGTCATTTAACATTAGGTATATCTCCTAATGCTATCCCTCCCCCCTTCTCCCACCCCACAACAGGCCCCGGTGTGTGATGTTCCCCTTCCTGTGTCCATGTGTTCTCATTGTTCAATTCCCACCTATGAGTGAGAACATGCGGTGTTTGGTTTTTTGTCCTTGCAATAGTTTGCTGAGAATGATGGTTTCCAGCTTCATCCATGTCCCTACAAAGGACATGAACTCATCATTTTTTATGGATGCATAACATTCCATGGTGTATATGTGCCACATTTTCTTAATCCAGTCTATCATTGTTGGACATTTGGGTTGGTTCCAAGTCTTTGCTATTGTGAATAGTGCCGCAATAAACATACGTGTGCATGTGTCTTTATAGCAGCATGATTTATAATCCTTCGGGTATATACCCAGTAATGGGATGGCTGGGTCAAATGGTATTTCTAGTTCTAGATCCCTGAGGAATGGCCACACTGACTTCCACAATGGTTGAACTAGTTTACAGTCCCACCAACAGTGTAAAAGTAGAGAGGCAGTATATTTTAATGTACCCTATAGGGTAGTTGTTGTTCTGCATAAATGGAACAAGCAGCCTAGATTTTCAGCAAAAATCAGCAATCAAGAATATTGCGAAATGTTTATTGCAACATTGTTCACAATGGCCAAGATACTAAGTCAACCTAAGTGTTCATTAACAAATGTATGGATAAAGAAAATATTGCACAGAGAGTGAGAGACACACACATACACATAGAGGAATTCAGTCTTAAAAGAATACAATCCTTTCATTTGCAGCAACATGAATGAATCTGGAAGATACCATGTTCAGTGAAGTAAGGCAGGGACAGAAAGACAAATGTTGCATGATCTCATTCATATGTGGAGTCTAAAGAAGTCGATTTCAAAGAAGTAGAGGAGAGAATAAGAGTAGAATAGCGTTTACCAAAAGCTGGGGAGGGAAGGGCAGAGTAGGGAGAGATTGGTCAACGGGTATAAAGTTACAATTAGATAGAAGGAATAAATCTGAGTTTTCTATTGCACAGTAGAGTGACTATGGTTAACAATATTGTGTTGCATATGGCAAAATAGCTAGAAGAGAGGATTTTGAATGTTCTCATCACAAAGAAATGATAAATATACAAGGTGATGCACATGCTAAATGCTCTGTTTCTATTTTTACATGATGTATACAAGTATAGAAATATCGCACTGTACCATAAATATGTACAAGTATTTATAAATGAAAACACAATTTAGAAAATTCCTAGACAAGGAGAGAAAGGTCTTTTCTAAAAAAGAGAATATGACTTAATGGTCCAGAAAGATTTTCCTCTCTACAATCTGGTGTACTATCTACTAATTAGCAACATGAACTATGTACCTTATTGCTTCTCTTTTTATCTTGACTGCTAGCAATAGTGGCTGTTATACTCCAAATTCTCCTCATCAGCCAGGATATTGTGACATTGATTTCTGCTCTGTCACTATCTCTCCTTCCTCCATTTATGTCCTTCTCTTGTCCCCTCTTGACTCCCCCCACCCCCATTTACTTTTATTCATTTCCTTGTAATTGTAATAATCATTTTGAATCTTATAGGACCTGTGTTTTTCTTCCAATGTTACTTTTCACAGCTTTAGCTACCTGCCAGAACTCTGTTAACTACATCTCTCATAATTCTTTGGTCTCCAAAACAGTAAAGTCTAAACTTTTACCAAATATTAAATGTACCTCTCTTCAGGCCTCCTTTACTTTTCATTTTTCCCCACAGAAATTTCCTTACATACACTGACTCTACTAGCTACTCCATTTGATCTGAATCCCCCATGCAGGCAAGTCACTGAGGTCTTCTCTAGAGATAGAGTCATTCTGCTGATTCTATCACTAATTTATCAGTTCCAACTCGGAGAAGGCTGTACTATCTCCTCTCCCATGATAAAAAAAATTATGAAACAACTGACCTCTAATCATCTACCTCCTGCATTTCCTTGTATCATTCTGCATTGACCCTTTGCATGGGACCTCAAGGTCTTTGCAGTAATTTTGCCCAGATACAGTCGGTATCCAAAAGCTGCACCTTCCAATTATTTTGCAGAAACTGCCCTGTTTTTTCCTTTCTGTTGTTTTCGTCTTACCAAACTTCTTACTACTCCATAAAAAACTTTATACCCATATTTCATGTATGTCTTCTGGGAAGAAAAACTGTATTTTATTTATCTTCATATTCTCCACAGGCACTGCTTTAAGTCTAGTCTGAATTTCTTAGCACTTCCTACACTTTTATAATTGTCTTCTGAATAATCTGCTCATTTTCAATATCTTTTTAAAATCAACTCTATACCCCACACCTTAGAAATTCCTAAAGAACAGCTCTGAACATGTCCTGACCCAGCAACTCCTTCTTATTTTTAATGCAAAATCCATATTGTTTTTCAATCTAGCCCTAACTTGTCTTTCTGCACCTATTTAACCCATCCCTCAATAATTCTGGATAACTTCTTCTCTGGTAAACCGTCCTGATCAGTTTCTTATCTGTCCTCTGTGATGCATATACATACCCAAACATATGCACAAATATATTGCATATAAAATGTAAAATTATAAAATATCAAATGTTTCTGAGCTATATTTTCTGTTTCATTGTTCTTGTATTGGTCCCAACTTTTCATTATTTTTTCTTTGCAACATTTAAAAGAAATAGCTTCATAGAGATAAAAATTATATACAATGAACTGCACAGACTTTAAATTTGTTACATCCTCCCTGCCTCTCCCTACCCCCACCTCCATCCACAGGTTCCCGTGATCGTTCTGTCATTACAGTTTAGTTTGCATTTTCTAGAATTTTATAAATATATTCATACAATATGCATTCCCTTTTCAGCATTCTTTGACAAATCAATTTTCAGATTCATCCATGTTTTTGCATCTATTGATAGTTTTCTTCTATGTATTGCTCAGTAGTATTTCATTCTGTAGGGATACTACCTGTCAATAGATATTTAGGTTGTTTCCAGTTTTTGGCTATTAAAAGTAAAGGTGCTATGAACATTCACATCAAAGTCTTGTCGTGAACATTTGATTTCATTTCTCTTGGGTAACTACATAGGAATGAAAAGCTTGGATCATGTGGTAGGATTGTGCTTATTTTTTAAGAAACTGTGAAATTTGGCCAGGTGCAGTGGCTTATGCCTGTAATCCTGGCACATTGGGAGGCTGAGACAGGAGGATCGCTTGAGGTCAGAAGTTCGAAACCAGGCTGGCCACCATGGTGAAACCCCATCTCTAATAAAAATACAAAAATTAGCTGGATGTGGTGGTGGGTGCCTGTAATCTCAGCTACTTGGGAGGCTGAGGCAGAAGAATTGTTTGAACAAAGGAGGTGGAGGTTGCAGTGAGATAAGATCATGCCCCTGCACTCCAGCTTAGCTTGGGTGACAAGAGTGAAACACTGTCTCAAAAAAAAAAAAAAAGAATAAATAAATAAACTGCCAAATTTATCACCAAGGTGGTTATAGCATTTTGCATTCTCAGTGGTGGTGCATGAGAATTCCAGTGCCTCAACATCTTCTCCAACACTTGATATGATCAGCCTGTTTCATTTAAGGTATAACAACAGATATGTAGTGATGTTCCATTGTGGTTTTAATTTGCATTTCCCTAGTGAGTAATGATGTGAGGCATCTATTCAATTGCCTCTTTGCCATCCATGTATCTTCTGTGGTAAAGTGACTGTCCAAATCATTTACATATTTTCAAAAAGGGTAGATGTTATATTATTGAGTTTTGAATATTCTTTATTATATGCAAACGGTCCTATCTCATCCCTGCAGTCCATAATTCACTATGTTGTATAACTATTGGCTCTCTGTGAAATCAAGCTGAGGAAGGAACTCTAGACAACCTGTCCCCAACCATTTTGGCACCGAGGACTGGTTTCATGAAAGACAGTGTTTCCACATACATTGGGTGGGTTGCTGGGGGTGATGGTTTCAGGATAAAACTGTTCCATCTCAGATCATCAGGCATTGGATTCTCATAAGGAGTGCACAGCCTAGATCCCTGGAATGCGCAGTTCACAATAGGGCTTGTGCTCCTATGAGAACCCAATGCCATCACTGATCTGAAAGGAGGTGGAGCTCAGGCAGTAATGCTCGCTCGCCCGCTCACCTCCTGCTGTACAGCCTGGTTCCTAACAGGTCATGGACCTGGTCATAGTACTGGTCCATGGCAAGCAGTGTGGGGACCCTTGCTCTAGAAAAAACTATCTCTGGATAGTTTTGTTGAAATAGTAGGAGGACTATAGACATCTAATTACCCACATATTTCAATCTCATGTTTGCATATCGACACACTGACCTCATTTGCTTTAAAATGTCTTCCTCTTTCTTCCTCTTACAATAAGTAGAAAATAAAATAGATCAAATATTGCTTATTACTCAATTGTATAATATATATACTAATTTCCTTCTAAATGTATACATTCCTAATGTCTTTTATTTTCTCTTGAATTATTAATTTCTAACAAATCTCCCATTTTTAGATGAAAGAGTAATTCATTCTATCATATTTTTCCCTTTACCACAATTTTTAATTACTTTCATTTCATCATCGTTTTTCTCTCCACAATTCTTTCATTTGTCTGTTTCTGTGTCTCCTAACTTACACAAAGTTAAATAAGATGATTCATATTAACAAAAGCAACTATGGCTAAAGTAATTATGTTATTTATTTTAATGGCATTCTTTTAAGCTACCTAACTGTAACTCATTTTGAATGTTCCTGTCAATTAGTAAGTAAACATAATTAATGATGTTAAAATTGTGTTAAACTATTAAATGTAATTGTCAGTTAAAAAAATTTTGTGACATACGACCTATTTAATTCAGCTGATAGTTACTTGAAATAAATATAACATTTTAAGTAGATATTTGACATAAAAATGCTCTTGTGAACCCCGGAGATCTGAGACAGGTCTCAGTTAATTTAGAAAGTGTATTTTGCCAAGATTGAGGATGCACACCCGTGACACAGCCTCAAGAGGTCCTGAACACATGTGCCCAAGGTGGTCAGAGCACAGTTTGGTTTTACGCATTTTAGGGAGTCATTAGACATCAATCAACATATATAAGATGAACATTGGTTCTGTCTGAAAAGGCAAGACAACTCCAAAAGGGGAGGGTGCTTCCAGGTTATTGGTAGATATGAGACAAATGGTTGCATTCTTTTGAGTTTCTGATTAGACTCTCCAAAGAAGGCAATGAGATATGCATTTATTTCGGTGAGCAGAGGGGTGACTGAATAGAATGGGGGGCAGGTTTGCCCTAAGTAGTTCCCAGGTTGACTCTTCTCTTTAGCTTAGTGATTTTAGGGCCCCAAGATATTTTCCTTTCACACTCCAAACCAAGTTTTGGTATTATATTAGATCATATAAACTGGACAGAAGTCATTTAGATACTAAATATTTTATAAAACTAAGTATTATAGTCTGTAAATAATTGTTAAGCCAAAAGACTGCTAATCCTCTAATATTAATTCTTCTTGGTACAGAATAATATTCATCATAAAAAATAGTGTCAGAGATTACATAAATCTAAGAGATATGTGTTTAAAAAATATTTGTAGCTATTTAATTAAATTTTCATTAACATTTTTAGGACACTAACCAGCGTTACCATTTTTTAAAAATTCATAGAAGGCAACTGAGAGGCCAAATATTGCATTTTTTTCAATATGTACATGATTAATGTTGACAGGAAGTGAAGTTCAACTTAAGATAAAACTCAAACCCCCAATAAAAACCCTAATAATAAAACATCAACTTTAGTCTTTAGTCTTCAATGTTAGAAACATAATTAGATATTAAACAGAAGGAAGTAGGTTTTATTCTGTGAGTTTATGCAGCTAGCACTTGGGCTATAATTAACAGCTGCCTGTATACATCATGTATCAAAATGCATGTGTTAACATGGATAGAACAAAATTTCAGCTTGTGCCTCTAAACAGAAACAAATACCATTGAATTTATAATACACTCTCTATAGCCACGTAAAATCATTTGATTGTTTAGAGGCCTACTATTACAATCATGATTCTCTATCAGTAAGAAATAAAGGCCAGGCGTGGTGGCCCATGCCTGTAATCCCAGCACTTTGGGAAGCCGAGGTGGGCGGATCACGAGGTCAGGAGTTCGAGACCAGGCTACCCAACATGATGAAACTCCGTTTCTACTAGAAAATACAAAAATTAGCCAGGCGTGGTGGCACGTGCCCTGTAGTCCCAGAGACTCAGGAGGCTGAGGAAGGAGAATTGCTTGAACCTGGGAGGTGGAGGTTGCAGTGAGCCGAGATCACACCACTGCACTCCAGCCTGGGCAACAGAGGGAGACTCCGTCTTAAAAACAAAAAAAAAAAAAAAAAAAAGAAAGAAAGAAAATGTTTCAATTGTTCAATTGTACAGTGTATTTAAATTATTTTATTAAAGCTGTTTAAATAAGACGATATTTCAAAGAAGTTTTAGGTTCACAGAAAAATGTAGAGGAAAGTTCAAAGATTTCCTACATAACTTCTGCCCCCACACAATACATAGCCTCCCCTATTCCCAACATCCCTCATTAAAATACATCTTTAGTTTGTATTTATCCAAAAAAATAGCTAGTTCTACTGTCTGTGGTGATTAACACAAACATGTATTTACAGCTTTTACATCCTAGATTTGGAAGTTAGTGATAGCCCTGGGAGAAGAGTATGAAGGACCAAGGGGACATGCCTACCTGGCATCTGTGACACACTTACCCTATCTTTTAGACCAACGGGTCTGAAATAAATTACTGACAGATCATTCTAAAATGCAGATTCTGTTTCAGTAGTTCTGGGGTGTGGCTGGTCCCAGGTGGGCGCCTGGCACTACAGGTGCCCACCACCAAGCCCGGATAATTTTTTGTATTTGTAGTAGAGACGGGGTTTCACCGTGTTAGCCAGGATGGTCTCTATCTCCTGACCTCGTGATCCACCCTCCTCTTGCTGGGATTACAGGCGAGAGCTACCGCGCCCGGCCGATTCTCCATTTTTAACAAAATCCTAGGTTTTGCTGATGTGGCTGTCTGGGGACTTTAGATTATGGAAAAGGCTCACAAGATGATTTGGTTTGGCTGTGTTCCCACTAAAATCTCATCTTGAATTGTAGCCCCATAATTCCTGCATGTTGTGGGCGGGACCCCGTGGGAGATAACTGAATCATGGGGGCAGTTTCCCCAGTACAGTTCTCTTAGCAGTGAATAAGTCTCATGAGAGCTGATGATTTTATAAGGGGTTTCCCCTTTTGATTGGCTCTCATTCTCTCTTATCTGCCACCATTATCATATCTCTTAAATGCCTTTTGCCTTCTGCCATGATTGTGAGACCTCCCCAGCGATGTGGAACTATGAGTCCATTAAACCTATTTTTCTATATAAATTACCCAGTCTCGGGTATGTCTTTACCAGCAGCATGAAAATGAACTAATACACAAGACCCTAGCAACTCTCTGTCCAAATGTCTTTGAACCACTTCAGAGCCCACCTAAGTCTCTCCCTCTCTCTCTCTCTCTCTCTCTGTCAAAGTGTGCCGGCTTGCCTACTGCTAAACCTATAGGGAGTTAGTTGTCTTTAGGAGTATAGCTGCAGTGGGAATGTAAGATCTAGGTGCAAACAAATCTTCTTCTTTACTAAGATGTAGTCTAGAGTGTGAAGGGGAGTAGATAGAGACCAAGGATCTGCATCACCAGGTTAAGTATGGTTTCACAGGAGTCCAAGAATTCTAAATTTGAATTAATCCTTTCATATCATTAGACAGTTGTATTTGTCAAGGTAGGAGACTTGAGCATAATTTATAATAATGTACAGTTTATTAGAAAGATTTATAACATTTAAATATTAAGACATATCATATGTGAGCTTCATTTGTTTTCTTGTTCCACACCTTGTGAGTGATACTTCTGATCCACCAATCGGTGGGAACATACACCACTTTTGTTCTGGCTGTATCCAGGATATATATGCTAAAGGCTTGCTGAGGAAGGTGGCTATCTGCTATAGCACTACAGACACATAAACACACACAGAGGCATCACAATTTGACCTACTAATATTTTGACAGTTTGAATGGTCATAGTGATTACTTTGTTCAAAAGACTTATCCTCCAAGAGTCATATTGTAGGAGTCATATTGTAGGAGAAAAAGACAAAAATTTAGACCACCTGTATTCTGCTAACTTTTCCACTGTTTGCACTGTTTTCTATGTACCTGAGGATAGCAAAAGCACAACTGCAAGTATAAAAATACTTTATTTTCCTACTTGTACTAGCTAGGTTCATTATAATCCTGGGTAATTTGAAAATTTCATAATATTAAATGTTACTATAATTATTCAGCAAAAAGAACTTGACATTCAGCATTACTAAGAATAAACCAGTCACATTTGGAAAATAAACTGTAACCTTATATTTTTCTTTTCATGTAATTGTGAAAATCAAGATTTTGCAATATTAAAAGATTCACAAGAATAAGTAGAGCAGGATCAATATTTTATGTTTGAAGTTATTAGATTTCCACTAAGGGTTCTATTTATCAAAAAAGATTCACACAGCTCTATGACATTCATTCTGCTTTTAACCTGTTAAGACAGGGAGAGCATCATACAGCATAAGCAAATCAGACAACCATAAAGAACAATATCGTGTTAGGGTAATTCTGAATAAACACATTAGGGAACTTTGAAGCTTTTAGACAGAATAGTGAACTATTAAATCTATTTCTCCTCCTCCATCCTTTTTTTTCCTTCAAGAGAGAGCAGGGGATATAAAAGTTAAATGATTTAGGATTTAACTCTTTATGAGATATACTTCTATGATCACATATACTTATTATCTAGGTGGCACTCACAGTAAAAAAGATTTTTATTTTTTTCATTTTATTTCACTCACATTGCATAGTGACACCAGAATAATAAACCCTGAAGCTTTTGTGAAATAACTTCTTTATTTAATCATAAAGGGGAGAAAGTGTTGGCACATATTCAATAAGACATGAGATTAATTTTACCTTTGGGCATATTATTCACACCTACCAAAATCTTCTAGGCTCTGAAGATACATTTATTTCCTTATAATTTTTCCCTGATTGTGAAAATTACAAAAATAAATAAATAACAGAAGACTCATTATATAGTCCCCCTGAAACAATATAAAGGAAAAACATGCAAAATGACTTTAACAAAGTGGGATTCAGGACTATCTGTATTCAACACAGAATGTTAATTTGTCTCTTTCTTGAAAAGAAAGCTTTGGAATCAATCACATTTCAGAAACTATTAAAAGATATCAAATACAAACTAGAAAAATTTAGTGTTCTTGCCATTTTTACTGTATAAATGTTTATTTTTAGCTAATATAAATTATTTAATAATTTATACACAATGTCAACTGAACATATGTAAAACAAACATTTTTCAGGTTTCTGACTTCAGTTTGGAGCAACACCTTCACGTACCACTGAAACTAGCTTCTTTTAATGCTCAACAGATAATCTGAAACTAGCTTCTTTTAATGCTCAACAGATAATCTGAATATGGAAAAGTTACAGTAAATAATTATATTGCTTTGTAAAACTGTGAGACAATTACCTAGTAGATTACTGGGAAAGAGTCGACTTTCCTCCTATTTAGAAAGGCATATAATTTAGAGATGGGATAGATGTTTTAAGAAGTATTCCCTCTTTAGTCAGTCAAGACTGACCAAATTAGTGATTTATTCCCAACCTCTTTTTCTCCCAAATATTTCACCACTTTATTATTCTGGGCTTTGTAGTGCTCATTCAATCTTGTGATGGTCAGAGGGTATTCAGGCCAACTATGACTTTTAGCTGTATCGTTTAATTTTTCAGCTGAGCTTTAGGTAATAAATCTGTTGTCAGCCTGTCTATTTGTGTCACTCTAAGACACATGACAAATGAAGCTGTGAAAAAAGCAAACCAAAGTGCATTCTTTCTTTCATGGCTAAAAGCAACAGATCAACAGCAAAATAAAAATGCCTCTTACACATTGCAAAATGCATGCTGAGCCCTTTAGCACATTTATCTACCTCCAAAACAAGCTATCTGTGTGAAATGTATCAGCTATTTGCATAATAAGTTGATACGTTTTTGCAATAATTTTAACCTGAAATTATTCACTTAACAGTTAAGAAGCAATGAAACAAAACTTCATTTCAAATTTGCAAGTAAAAATATGCTATTTAATTTTTTTCTCTGTGCTACTATGAAGTTAAATGGGTTAATAGGAATAAAATGGTGGAAAACTTTTTAGAAATTTATCATGAAAATTTGAGAAATCATTTGACTCCACTAGTGTTAATTTCATAGCCTGCCAGATGAAGCAGACAGTTTTAGATGATTTCTAAGGTCACTTTCAGCTTTAACATGTTATGCCGTTCTGATATCATAAATCATACAGTGCCTCTCATTCACATATATATGACTTAAATGATTATCATTTAGAGAAGCCTGCATATTTAAGGCATGCTACTAACTGCACTGCAATTCAATATGTTCATTAAATTTTGTTATAGATGGAAAAATTTTAACCTCACCTGCAGCACTTAGCTTAAAGATTAAGCAGAAAGTGATTTCCAAAATATACTTGCAAAATTGATATTCTTCTTATCTCTCTATATTAATTTAATGCTGAATGTAATCAGCATGCCTAATGAACTGTAAATCTCACACCTGCCTCTGTATTCTATATGGTAACGTCATCTCATGATGCATCTTCTCTTCCATGCATTTTGTTATTAATGTAAATTGTTTTTAATAGTGGCCAGTCAGGGAAATCACTGTCTACATTTAGGCCCCAGTGTGCCAAAGTCTATTCTTGTATGCAGTGGTAGAATTTTTCATGACATGCTGAGTATTTATTTACAGGAGTTGTCCAGCATCTAAAAGAGCCCTGTTAACACAAACAAGACTTCAGGTTCTTCTCATTTACTGTCTGATGAAAATCAAAGAACAGTATGCATGCCAATGAAGGACCATGAATTTTTCATATATTTGGTTCTTTTTCATGACTCCAAACCCCAATATTCTCTGAAATGATTACACAGTTCTCTATCAGGAACTTTATCCCCTAGGTGGCAAGAGAGCAAAGGAACATGAGCTTGAACTGACCTTTTGATAAGTTTGATTGTACCATTTTTGCAGCCTTAAAGGAAGAATATCAGGCTTACTCCAGAAAGCAAGCAGTTTGTGAAATCAAGAGAATGGAGAAAGAACAAAGTGCTAATTAGAGAGATATTTTTGAATTCCCCAAAACTTAAATATTGCCCAAAGCAAAGTTCTATTAAAATAATCATAAAACGTCTCTCTATGGGTATGTATATATTTTTAAATTTTATTGCAGGGTGTATGACACAGTTGGGCTTCAATAATTATTTATTCATCATGTCATTCAATAATCACTTATGGAGCACATAAAGCTGCCAAGATATGTTAAACACACCAAGGAACATTGCAGAGAATAATCTAACAAAGTATTCAACTCAGCATACCTAACTGGAGACGGATTATATGGGATATATAGCTGTTCATAGAAAGTGTTTTGTTTTTCTATTATGATAAAAACATATTATTCCTTTCATGAAATTTTCAAGATCAGCCCTTTATCTTTTCTCTAGAGGAAGCTTAGTCAAAATTCCACCGATTCAGACCAAAATGATTCTTTTAACCTTTAATTAAAATGATACAAATATATATATTAATCAGAACTTCTTAGAAGTGTGAAAAATTTTTATATTTTCACTAATCTAGATTGACACCTTCCCTAAACTTCATAAAATATAAATTCAGGGAGTATTTGGAATGAATCAAAAGTATTCTTTATGGAATACTTTTAAAATGGCCTTTTAAAAATTTATTCTCCTATGTTAATAGTAATTGAAATGCTTTCCAAAGAAAATCTTAGTATTCAAAGGGTTTTTATTTCCTTTATAATATTTTTTAATGTTTTATGGGTATTTATATTGGACACTCCTGGTATTAAATGGATTGTGATAATTCAGTGTGTTATAAATCATCTGAATTCTTCATATAGCAAAATGAATATCTGCCCTACTCTTTAAACAATTGACTAATACCCAATAGAGAGGAAAATGCTATTTAGAAAGAATTCTTCAGGAAAAATAACAAAATCTATGGTTTTTATTCAAATTCCAAAATAAAGCCAGCTGACAACAAGTGATTTACTAATAGTCATTATATAATAAGCTCAGTGCAGCCCCGGGCAGCCTGCAGACACGGTGACTGCCTGACAAATGGCAGCGCTCAGGCTGGTTCTGCGATTGGAAGCAACTCCCAAATCAATCGGAAAGATTGTCAAACATGTTACCATTCCCCCAAAGTGAAAACAGGCATAATACAATCTAGAAATTGGATTCTTAGGAAAAATGCACAAGTCAAGTTAGCAAGAAGTTATTGTGTGCCTATTATGTCCCAATATCGTTTAAAGTGCTCTATGGGATAGAAAATAAATACTGTATTTGTCATGTTCTCCTCATGGGAACTACAACATTATTATAGAGAAAAGACTTATATACATAAGACAATCAGAGACCAGCCTAATCTCTCATCCACACACCCCAGTTCACTCTAGTCCATTCCCCCTGGTTTTTATCCTACTCTCCAAATGTGTGATGTTTTTTCCCCCTCTAGATCCTCTGCGCATACTTAGCCTTGTGAACTCCTATTTTTTCATTAAATTTCAGTTTAAATAAAGCTTTCTCGAAGAGTCTTCCCTGGCACTTCCCTCTATCAGAGTCTAAATTGATCCCTCCAGTTTTATTTTTTCATGGTCCCCTATATTTTGTCTTCCTTTTATTTATCATATTTAATACTATATATTTAATTTTGTGGTTATTGATTTTATATCTGCCTTCCAATAAATGACATGAACTCTTTGAGGGCAGAGTGTCTGATTCGCTATGCATCATATCTCTAAACCTTACATTGTGGTTTCTCAACCTCAGCCTCTTGACATGTATTGCCAGATAATCCTTTACTGTGGGGGGCTGCCCTATGAATGGCAGGATGTTTAGCAGCATTCCTGATATCTATCTAACGGATGCCAGGAGCCACCCACCTCAGATGTCTCCAGACATTGCCAAATGTCAGCTAGGGAACAAAATTCACCCCAGTTGAGATCTGCCACCCTGCACTATTGACCAGCATATAAGAGTCATCTAATGAATAATTGAATAAATAAACTGATATGAGTCATCATACAACCAAATGTTAATTTGTGTTTGCCAATATTACGTTGCCATTTCATAGATTTTTATGAGGATTAAATTAGATGATGAACGGAAAATGTTTAGGTCAGTAGAGCTTGAACTTTTTGATCAGGCTATATAACAGAAATGAACTATTGGCCATGATTATAGATTCTTAAACAGATGAGTTAAGTTTGAAAAAAGTATTTTTAAGAGATCAATCTGACATCGTATGTAGGATGACTAGAAAGCAATAACACTAAATATTAGTATCAACAGGAAACTTCAAGCATGAAGACCAGTTGGCACTCAGGATGAACAGTGCTAGTTGAAAGCCACTGCTCTGGATATAGCCTAGGATTCTAACAATTTCTAGACTAGCCAACCATCTTAGACAGAGTGGATGAAGTCTGGTACTAAGGTGGGATGACAAAAAAGATGGCCTTATCAATCTCCTTCACTATCCTTTTGCTTTAGGTTGACACAGCTCATTGTCTACCAAAAGCCTTCCCTGGAACATCCGTTTCAATCCTACTCTTTGCCTTCAAATCACAACTCAGTCGTCACCTCTCAGAAATACCTGACCCAACATCATTAGTCCACATGGATCTCTCAGCCACCTGATTTCTCACTCATCAATCCCACGTAGTACAGCAAATCATTGCTTAACATAGTATTATACTATTCTTCTTTCATTTTTGGTAAGCCAATGTGTGATTAGACTTTATGCTTTCTATCTCTTTGTTATCCTCCAACCATAGTTGTAGGCATAGTAAATCATGGTTTTTATATTTTATGCTTTCTGATTCATGGGATATCAAAGTTAGAAGGAATCCAGAGGTCCAGTAGCAGAGCTGTAAGAACAGTCATGTATCCCCATCATAATAATCAGAAATATGTTTAGCCAGATGTTGCTTGTCTATCTCTAGTGATGAGAAGAGCACTGTTTCATCTGCTTTCATTTCTGGAAGCACTGTCTTTAAACATGTCTTCCAAGTTATGCAAGCATCAACTCTTTAAAGATACTTTGTGAGACTACTTAGAGTTCATTCAGAATACCTCATTAGTTCCTGTCCCTCATTATTTAACTATACATTTTGCATTTTTGAATTTGCTTTATGTTTGTTCAAAAATAATTCTTTATTTTATCTATATATTTTATTGTAATCTTTATTGAACATTTAAAACTAGAAATATACCGAGTTTCTTTTAATTATTTTTATTATACTCTTAGCTTACTTCATATAGTATACAACAATAAATTTCAAATAAATACTTGATTCTATAATTTGAGGCTGTTCCTGAAATCATGTTCATACGATGTAACTTCCATCCTTGTTATTCTTCTTTCTCTGCACTCACCTGCTTTCATTGCATCTGGAGGTTTGAATGAAGTTATAGAGGGAGGATGTGAGTGAATGCTATAAATAACATAAACTTGGCATAAGTAATTGTTTTAAATGAAGCTAAAAATATATTCAAGTTCCTGACTTATCAAATGATTCAGGTTGAATGACAATTAATCCTAAAATCTGTAAAATCATTCCCTGGGTTAAAAAAAACATATAAATATATACTGTAGACAGAAGGGAGCTTAACCTAAGTGTATTAATCAGTAATAAGGTCAATACGTGTGAACAGTGTCATGAAGCTGAGAAAAGCTAATTTAATTTTAGGCTACATTAGCAGAAGTGTCCTATGTGGGCCTGAGCAATGAGAGTTCCCACAATGTCTGTTCATTGTGCAGATAACACCTGTAAGTTCTATAAACCTATATGAAAGTTTAGCACCCTATATGAAATATAGAATGGAACCAGAACTAATGAGGTATATTGAATGGGATATAAGTGTCACGGAAACTATGTTTGAAAAGGGATTTTTCAAAAGGTGTGTGTGTTGAGGCGATGGTGGTGTCAAAGGAAGAACAGGATGACAAAGAAGTGTTAAAGCAACTGGGAATGTCTAACATGGAGAGATAAGATGCTTGTATACAAAAAGCAGTATTTACATGGTGGAAAGATTGTCATATGAAAGAAGTATTACGCATGTTTTTTTAATGAATAGGCTATAATAAGTGTAATGAAATCTATGAAAAAGCAATTAGATTAATGTAAGGAAGTTGCTTCCAACAGTGCTATCTCAAAATAGAAGGTCCTATGTAATTGAGAAGTCATTTTGGATGTCATTAATTACCAACTTTGAAATCTCACCAGTCTGTCCTATGTTACAACAATCAAAACTATGCTTTTAATAAGCAGGTAAGTTAAGATACATTAAGGAAAAAGGACAGCATTCAAATTTTAAAAATAAAAATAGGATTACACTTTAAATTAATAGGCATGGGTCTCTAGGGAGAGCTTATCAAAAATTTCATGAATAACAAAGGTAGCAGCAAGGCAGATATTTTATGCCAAATGGAATTCGAGTTTTCTATTTGGGTTTGGGAGGGAAATAGACAAAAAAGATCATTAAGGCCTCGGAGTCTAGATTTCTATGATGTAAAACTAATTGATTTTAAGAGAAATTTAAGCCCGTTTATTATAAAGGACGAAGGCTACATGGAATTAATGGGCTCTGTTTCAACACTCAGGCATGGAGGCCTAATGCAACAGACCCTATCAATGGGAATCAGGAAGATGTCAAAGTGAGGTATCTGCTGTGGTGTCAATAGCCATGAGCGGCCCAGCAAGTGCTGGCTACTTCAGTGCACATGAGTGCCAAAAGCCAAATGATACTTCATTGTTTTTAAAAAGGACAGTCTCTCTAATTAGCCTGTAAATGCTGAAAGCCTGGTAGTAGTTAAAATATGCAGGAGTTTTATTTTGTTTTCCAATGCCATGCACATTATGTCTTCTCCCTTCCAAATGCCGTCTGTCTCTCACTCCACACATACACAGGAAGAAATTAGACTAGTTGTCCTTTAAGGTGCTTTTACTTCTTAAATTTTAGGATAAAATTTAGACAACACTTTTGTCACAAAAGTACACCCTCTATGATTAATGAATGACATCTGCAGAATGGTTTTCCCCAACCTGTCCTAAAAAGGCACTCTGATTTGTCCATTTCTTCTTTTTCATTCCCACCATCAAAAATTGTCATTAAACAACTACTCTATTCAGTGTACTAGAAAAGATACCCGGAGAAAGGCATGAAATCTAGAATTCTATCGGGGTGTTAGATGCTTGTGCATGAGAACAGAAGACACATCACAGTACCCATACAGATCACTTAGCTTCTAAAAATCAGTCCTCTGATCCATGGTATAAACACAATGCAGTACTTTGATTCATGATCTTTTTTAACATTAAGTTTCTCCTTAAAAATTGAACAACAATATCATTTTCTGAAACAGAATAGCTACATTTAAAAGTAAGCATGGATTTTATGGCTGAAAGAGGTTTAATATTTGAAAAATTAAATAAATTCCTGAAATTCTATAAAATTGCACTTAAAGTTCTTGTATCCTAAGATACAGGAGCTAAATATAACCTTAAAAATGGAAACTTGGAGCCTTCAGATTTGGAAAATTTTCTACATTGTTATCAGTACCAGAGATTTGTTAAAATTGTATATGCCCCAATAATATGAAGGGAAAAGTGGCACACGGATACTTTGTCATTATTTTAGTAATAGCTGGAGTTAAGACTGAAGTAAATCAATGAGCATAAGTCAAATGTTAGCAAATACTTCATAATACAAATGTTAGCAAATACTTTATAATGCACAAATAAAATCAGCAGTCTAGATATGTGTGCTTTTTCTATACTCAGTGCAAAACTTAAGAATGACTTAGCTAAGTCAAGATGAGAACTGAAACACAATTATTCGCTATAGGAAAAAAGAGCAAACAGAAATTCGATATTTAGATATGAAAAACTTTAGTGTCTCTTATGATGGTCATAAATTCTATTCACATGAATGGCATAAAAGTAGAGCTGCTTTTCACCAGGAAGGATATGAATGTGGTAAGAAAGATTTTATGATCAACTTTTCAGGCAAATCAATACAAATCATTCAACAAAATACTATTAAAAATCCTGGTGCTATCATACTTGGACATATTTATCATTCACAGACCATGATAACTGTCTGTCATAGAGTATGAGAAATGAATTAATGATTTTTCTTTCATCTGTTTAAATAATCTCATTTTAATATTTCAAAAACTAAAAAGTCATAGTAAGGAAGCTAAATCAAAAATAAACGAAAAGAGCTCTCTAGAGCACAAACATTTTCATAGCAATTTTTCATCTTTGCTTTATTTATATTCCTGGTGACTTCTTTGCAAGATACCTTAGAGATTTTACGAGGTTTCTATTTAGCCAATTGTATCATAGCTCAAATTTAAAACCAAATAAATCATTCTTTAGACAGTCAGAACACAAAAGAATAATAACAACTTCTGTAAGACTATTTGAGCCCAAAACACAATATAGGACCATCAAAATATAAAATACTAACTTGGGTGTGCTAGCATGGAGATGTTTCCTTATCATATTGATCACATATGTTTTTTACACATATTTATTTCAAGTTTATATGTGCGTTTACATGTATTTAATACAGTTCTGTGTGTCTGCCATTTTTTTTAACTAATATCTGTCAGACCTACTAAAATGTAATCCTCACAAGTGCTGAAATCCATTGTGGTTTCGTTGACTGCTGCATTCCAACCTTAACCCAGTGTTCATATTTTACTGGGAGTTTATTAAATAAATGAATGACCCGGAGAAACAGAGGACAGTGGATTCTGCCCAGATATAAACTGTTTGAGTGACTCTTGGTTGGAAAACATCCCAGGGTCTTTTCATTTATGGATTTTCTGGTTAAAATTTTTTAATGGCAATCCTAATACAAATGTCTTAATTCAAATATAATACTGAGAATTTCTGATTTAGCATCCCAGTATCTCACAAATTCTCATGCTCCCAAACCCTAAACATATCCTACACATGCCACATCATATGCTAAAGTAAAGTAAAAAGGTGTAGCAAAATTAATTTGGGTTTAAACGAGCCTGGAGAAGGAAGTACACTTTCTTCCTTACTTCTTTCTTTCTCTCCCTCTTTCTCTTCTTCCTCCCTTCTGTCCTTGCTTCCTTCCTGTTAACATCTTACTTACAAGCTCTCCAGAGAGAGTAGCACTACTATACTTACCATTCAATAGTTCTGTCAGAATTGGTGTTTTTTTAGGTACTTCCCCTTAAATAAAAGATTATTTTGGCTTTTTTGGGCAGGTTTTTTTTTTTTTTAATAGCACTCTCTTCCCAGTAATCTAGATAAATTGCCAAGCAAGCACACTATAACCTTGGTGAATTTATCTATGAGAACACTCACATAAGCTTGAAATTAGTAAGCCCCTGGAGACTACCCTGTTTTTCCTTCTTAATCAGACCTTTAGGTAGGTAGTCAGTGTCTTAGAACTGAACAGACAGAATTTGCAAGCTGAATATTGTTGGCTCATAGAGTGAATTTCTCTTACACTTGGAAGAAAAATTGTGACTAAGTGACAGTGAGGTTTTTACTTGCATGCTGTTGGTAACCTTCTGTCCCTATACACAGGCAGAGGGCTTTTTTGGTTAATGGGCTGAGTTTGTGGAACACTTGTCCCCTGGTGCTGTGTCCTTAGGTCAGAAGACAGACAATTTACATCCATTTACCTGACATTCTTTATAGTCAAAGGCTACTAGTTTAGTCCCAGCAAGCCTGACCCTAACATGGTTTGATAAACAGACAGGCAAGAAATATTGCATTAACACAGCTCTTCTATTTAGTCAAGGGGAAAACTACAGAAACATGGGTATTATATCACTCTACACTCATTCTGCTTTCACCAGGCTTTTAAAGTGCCATTAGTGCTTACTTGCAAAATCAGATTCAATTTAGATGGTTAAATAAAAATGAAAAATCTGTGCATTTTCTAAATAGCCCGACACTAAGATTGCTTACACACTTCTTTATACACATAACCATTTCTGTAACATGTCAGAAAGTAGAGGTATTTTATAACTATTTTTATGCTTGTGTTATAATTTTAAAAGGGTTTCAAAATCAGATGAATGGTGGCAAACTGAATGTTTTCAGTTATAATATTTTTGATTCATAAAAATTATCAGAAACTCAAGGATGTAGTTTATTTTTTCTCTTCCAAAAGAGTATTGATCTGAATTATATTTCACTTTAAGAAATATAAATATTTAAATAAATAGAGAACAAATGGTTATTTTAACCAAGCCACTGAGTATCAGTATTAGCAGAGGGAAAACCTTTAGTGCATATCATTAAGAAATCCTAGAAAGCCAAGGCGAGCGGATCACAAGGTCAGGAGATCAAGACCATCCCGGTTAACACGGTGAAACCCCGTCTCTACTAAAAATACAAAAAATTAGTCAGGCGTGGTGGCGGGCACCTGTAGTCCCAGCTACTCGGGAGGCTGAGGCAGGAGAATGGCGTGAACCCGGGAGGCGGAGCTTGCAGTGAGCAGAGATCATGCCACTGCACTCTGGCCTGGGCGAAAGACCGAGAGTCTGTCTCAAAAAAAAAAAAAAAAAAAGACATCCTAGAAGTAAATTTTAGAATTATGTAAATTTTACTTGTCTGTTTATTTCTTTCTTGACTTATGTTTGAATAACTATATGAGACTTCCAACACATTTTCCTACATTAATGTCTTGCTTCATTCATTTAATAAATATTTATTGAACACCTACCCTATGACAGATACTATAGTAGGACCTTAGGATATTGCAGTGAACAGAAGAGACAACATTTCTACACTCATCAAACTTCCTTTCCAGACATCAATTTTGAAAATGTAATAATAACCCAGTAAATATATGAGATAATTTTATGTCTTATATATTAGTGTTAAGGCCTATGAAAAAGAAATACTAGGGGACAGAGAATACTGAGTGATGCTAATTCAGAATGAGTATATACACAAAGGGTACACATATGAGAAGATAAATTTTAAACAGAGGTGTGCATAAATTGAGATTCAGCTATGCGTATACCTGAGGGGAGATTTTCCAGGCATAGAGAACAACAAGTGCAAAGGTCCTGGTGTAAGAGGGTCGCTTCATGTCTTTAAGAGCTAGGAAAAAGGCCAGTGTGGCTGACATAGAGTTAGAGAAGGGGAAGGAGAAGGGAAAAACAATGTAGGGTTAAAGGTACTGCGATGAATTGGAAAGAGGGTCCAAAGTTAGGTCATCTAGTTTTCACTTCTCACTTCAGTCACTTGGCAGCTATTCACCATGTATATATTTAAAACAGTTGTAACTGCACTGGAAATGAAAGAGTGGTATTCAGCTATAAAGTAATAATTAAATTAATATACTGTTGGAAAACAGGTTTGTTGCTCTACTATAATTCTCAAGCAATTACAGTTATGGGAGAAAGAAATATCATACAGCCTATTCTCCTCCACCCCCATTCCAGGATACACAAGCTTTGAAAACAAGCAAGAAATATTTATTGTTTTAGTTGGTCTCTGTGATTGTAAGCTACAGAGATTCATTTGTGTTGCTCCAAGTGATGGAAGATTTATTATAAGTGTAAAGAAGAAAAAATGCAATTTAATAGAAACACTGCAGAGTCTTCCTTTTATAGGAGAAACATTATTTACCTCCAGGAACTGGCGGTTCTTTTGTCCAACAAAGCACTTTTAATGCCCACTTTGGCTATGAAAGGCCAAGTCTTCTAGAAATTTGGCCTAAATGGACTAGTTGGAAAAAAATATCACTGAATCACTCTGCCACAAACTAATCACACTTTGACTTTTCTTTGGCAGGCTGGGAGAAAGAGATGGAGAGGTGATCAATCTATGGTCGAGAAGGACCCAAGCAATTAAACTTGGGAAAGGCAGGAACAGAGTAAAAATACAGAAAGAATAAGGCCACAGACAGAGGTGACCACAGTATAGTCACTCCATTGTTATGCTATGAATGACAACATTCTTCATGTCTCTGCTGTCTTGCTAAATTACTTCCTCATCTCTCTTCTTTGTGTCATATATCTCTATCTCAGAGATAACACTTCCTTCCATACAACTTCAGATCATACATGGCCATCATGTTAAAATCTTTTTATGTTAACATTTCAAGTTTAGCTCTTACTGCTATTGATTTATATTCTTGGTGCTTTTTTCCTGCAAGTTGCTGAGAAGTTGAATTTGATTTGCTTAGATCTAAGCTGAGTTATGAAGGAAGGATGGAAGGCTGTGGATGGACAGGTCTTAGTAAGTGGGAAGAATGTGACACTGACATGCCATCAGCAGAGCGCAAAAATTTTGAAATCATGTTTAATGACTATTGAGTAAGGCAGGCTTTTAAAATGAGGGTTAGGTTTGGGATATTTGAGATGGAATAAAAACAAGAAAATTTAAGGCATATTTTCTACTAGTTGATAGAATAAAACAAATATGTGTTATTGTATTATTTGTTTCTACTTAGTTATTCTCTCCTGAAAAACAAAACAATATAGCTTCATTTTTAATTATAGCAAGAATTCATATGTGAACAGGAATCAGAGAAAGCACACAAAGAGTATTGTTCATTTATTGTACACTATTTACCGAGGCCAGATTTGTAGGTTCTATTTCTTTTCCGCTGGGACCACAAGTATTTGTAATGTAAAATTAGAAATGGGGAATGTTTGCACTGAAAGAGACCTTAGAGAGCTTCTAATCTAATTTTTTTCAATTTACAGATAAGGAAACTGAAACCCAGGGGGAGAAATTGAGTTCATTGAGATCACGGTTTAGTTAGTAGCCTAACTGAGAAAAGAACCCAAGATTCTTCTGTCCCAGGGCAATATTTCCCTCATATCATGCTGCCGCTCCTTCATCATAAGGGTCTAGGGTTTAACGACAACGACAACAATAAAAAGAAGAAACAAAGAAAATATACATAAAAAAGAGTGTGCATTGTTTGCCCCATGTTAAATGCTTCTATGTTCAGCTGCTACTGCTTTCTTTTTTATTTAGTTTTCTGGGTATTGGTTATATTTATATTTCCTTAGGCTTAAAGATTTATCATTCTAGGGATCCATGAAAGAAAGGGATGCTATCCTCTTATACTATTTTATCTGTCTTTTACAAAAGTATTATGGTTGATTATAGGCATTTCTGTTTCTTTGAAAGTGCTCTAAAAGACAGTCATTCACACTGTGATGAGATTCTTCCAGGCAGAAAACACACATTGCTCTTCATTCTATGACAATCATAAATACTTGACTGACCATTGCTCTGATTTCAAGAATGCAAGTATAATTGTGTTCACTTTTTAAAGAGGTATATCTATGCATTGTAGTGTCACACTCTATATGCTCAATACTTCCCAATACCACTTACAAAATGACCTTTAACCTTTTTCTCCTCTTTTCATCAAGTAAATGCATCAAGCATTTTTCACATGTGCCAGTTTCACTTCTTTATGATGTCACAGATAATTGTTTTGGCCTCAGGGAAAGAATGTGCTTTCTGCTGCAAATAATGGCTGCAGAACCATCTAAGTAAAAAATGAACTACTTGTTAAGGCTTATTTTTTTTTATCTTACCAATTATGGAAGAAAGAAACTTTCCTTAAAACAAGAAGAATACTAAAAATGTCAGATAAAATGATGGGAAATGAAGTTGAGGGTAGGAACAGGTACAGTAAACAAGTTTAAAGGCAACAAGCTTCTTAATGAACAAGACAGAGAATATGTTAGCCACATTTACATTTTATCAGGTGAAATTATCTCAGCTCTTAAAATAAAAAGGAAAATGGAATTTTAATATCTGGGAGAAAAGATGAGTTAGGCATATGACCTATGAAATCCATATTCATTTCTTCCTGGAGAAATAAATGTATTTGACTATTAAAACAATGTGAATATCCAGAGACATTGCACATAATCAAAAGTTTATAAACTACATGTCATGAGCATTTACACTCAAATAGATGAATTATTATATTAGTCCATCTTCACACTGCTGATAAATACATATCCGAGACTGGGCAATTTACAAAAGAAAGAGGTTTAATGGACTTACAGTTCCATAGGGCTGGAGAAGCCTCACAATCATGGCAGAAGGCAAGGAGGAACAAGTCACATCTTACATGGATGGCAGCAGGCAAAGAGAGAAAGCTTGTCCAGGGAAACTCCCATTTTTAAAACTATCAGATCTCCTGAGACTTATTCACTATCATGAGAACAGCATGGAAAAGACACACCACCATGATTCAATTATCTCCCACTGGGTTCCTCCCACAACACATGGGAATTTTGGAAGTTACAATTCAAGATGAGATTTGGGTGGGGACACAGCCAAACCATATCAATCATAAACCACCTTGTTCATTGAACAAAGAAAATCTAATGTATTTATTATTTCCAAACACTAGATTTATTTGAGGTGTTTTTTTGTTTGTTTGTGTTTGTTTTTGTTTGCTTTTTTTTTTTTTTTTTTGCTTTGGTACTAGGAAAACATGATTATTCTGTCTCATTCTCAGGGAAGATAACAGTAATGCTGGGTGCTTGAAGTCTTTGTCATTTTCTGATTTTGCTATCAGAAGGAGGATGAGCAGATAGGAAAGGGCCATCTCCACCATTGCCCACCACCATTACATAAGTGGTAATTTTCTAAGATTCTTAAAATTTCAAAATATGGAAAACTTGCTATAAAAACGACTTGACATTTAATTTGTAGGCAATTCCTATAAGCCAACGTTTGTTGAAGGTCTACTATGAGTCAACAATGTTAATATGTATTTAGGTTAAATTAGCCTTCACATATACAGAAATAGATAGTAAGAGCTGGCATTTATTGTGCAATAATTATTTACCAAGGTGCTGGGCTTATCTCTTATCTTCCTGATGTCATTTAACTCCTACAACTATCCTATGAGAAAGATAATATTATGAGTTCCATCGTATGGATGCGGAAATAGAGATTTAAGGAGTTAAGCTTACTTAGTTAGTAAGCAGGTCTGACGTGACAAATTTCTTTTCCCTTAGGTCTCTTTTGCCTGTCCTGAATTGATGTAAAGCCACTGGGGCAAGAAGATTAGAAGACTAGTAGTTCCTAAAATCAGAATACTCCCTGAGTAGTCCCTTTGCTACACTGAGAGAAAATTCAGAGAGACATCTGGATTTGGCTGAAATCCCCCTAGAGTTATCCTGAATTAGGTCTTTAGGAATGCAAATTGTGTTCTCCAATCAAAGAGGAGTGCTCTTCACTTATACCTATTTTACTTCAAGCTGCAATGGCTAATATGGCAACCACTAGCCTGGTAATGTAACTGAGCACTGGAAATGTGGTTAGTCTTGACTGAATGGATTATAAGTAGAAAATACATACTGGACTTTAAGTCTTAATACTGGAAAAAGAATCTAAAATATCTTAGTAATAATTTTCATATTGATTACAGGTTGGAATAATAGCATTTAAAATATATTGAGCTAAACATATTATTAAAATTAATGTTGTCTTTTAAAAATAATTTTTACAAAATGGCTACCGAAGAGTTTAAAATTATGTTTGTTTTCCTCCTATGTTTCTATTATGTAGTGTGAATTTAAAGTGATTTCCTCTGAGACTTTTACTCTTAGAAGGAGATGGATTAAGCTACACTTCCTGTCTGCTCTTATTATGATTTTACCAGGAAATCTTACCAGGAAATCTAAGATGGAGACTAGATTCTTCTGTTATAAGAATGTAAGCAGTCTTGTTATTTCCCATTGCTCATCTTGTAATATCCTGTTTGTTTATTTATTTGCTTTCTATCATTAGCAGTAAAATCTTCACGGAAAAATATAATTTTAGAGTTTTATTTTAGAATATATGTACAGGGTAGCTTGGAAAACTATGACATCCCTTAACTGGTGATGGCGTGCAGGAAACACTACCCCAAAATACCCTGGCATTTGAGAAACTCCTGCCCCAGCCATTTTTCCATTTCTTCCTGCCATACAACCTAGGAAGATCACTCTCTGATGTTCTCCTTCCCTTCTCCCCTGAAGATCTTCACGGGACAGTTGTTCAGTCCCATATCGAAGGAAGAAAAATCAACACAGATACTAAGAAGAATCTGAACAAACAGGCCTCTCTAAGTTCCCCTCGGATTATTACCATTAGGTCATACCCTTTTATTCTCTTCTGCATGAGTGTCCATAAAAATATAGTTTTTCCTGGTTTGGGGAGGTCTTCATTTCTGATGTCTCTTATGTCATGTAAAATATATTAAATATTTTTTTGTGTGTTTTCTTTTCTTAATCTCTCTTTTGTTACAGAGGTCTCAGCCACAAACCTTGTGATGAGTGAGGAAAAGATATGACTTTTTCTCCCCTTACCAGGCTTATAGCTAGGTAGCATGTCTAAATCTGATAGAGATATTGGGGCTGAATGTTGTGGTTCCAGGATGTCATCATAGGTGGAATAACAAAGGCTGCAACAATTTCGCAGTGAGATATTAACATTGAGATACGTAACACTGAAATATCAATTGATATTTGTTTGTGTCCTATCTTATTTCCTTCAACAGTGGTTTATGGCTCTCCATGAAGATGTCCTTCACATCCCTTGTAAGTTGTATTCCTAGGTATTTTATCCTGTTTGTAGAAATTGTGAATGGGAGTTCACTTATGATTTGGCTCTCTGTTTGTCTGTTGTTGGTGTATAGGAATGCTCGTGATTTTTGCACATTGATTTTGCATTCTGAGACTTTGCTGAAGTTGCTTATCAGCTTAAGGAGATTTTGGGCTGAGACGATGGGGTTTTCTAAATATACACTCATGTCATCTGCAAATAGAGACAATTTGACTTCTTCTTTTCCTAATTGAATACCCTTGTTATCTCAAAGAGATCAAGAAAAAAAAAGCCTTTCTCATTATTACTTATTGCTCTGGATCCCATAATAAGATTTATTTGAAAAGATTGGGATGAGGTTGGAAACGACGGGAGAATCATATTACAGCCAGTGTGAATGAGAGTTAAAAATTTAGTAAAAGGTGAAGACAGGTACAATATAAGCAAAAGTTTGAAGTGACATGTATTAACACTGCTATTGAAACAATGGGAAATGGTGGACTACCAGAAAGACAAAGGATGCTTTTAAAGACACAAAAGACTTTAGTAAAAGGAATAAAAACACTCAGGAAAGGGTCCTTCTGTTTTCATTAAAACTATTGGTAGCAAAGTAATGAGGTAGCACAGCTTAGATGTCAGAGTTAAATTTCTGCCATCCACTTTAACTTGAAAGAGTTAAATTCAAAACAAAATTAACTGTTACTAAAAATATATGTTAAATAACAACTAAGTTCCTGTGTATAATAAAACAGCAATGCAAATTAAAGGCAAACACATATCCATTGCAGGCCAATTATGATTCTAAGTCATTACAACCTTTAAAATGTTTTCAGAATTATTAAAATTAAATTATATTTAATAAAGTTGGAGATGTATTAATTAAATTCGTCTTACATAAATATAAATTAAAATCTTAAATGTATTATGAGATTTTAGAAATCACCATTCCAAATATGATAAAGTGATTATTTTTAAAATGACTGAGCATGTACAATGTGATAGATTCAATCAAGCAGGCTTCAAATTGAAAATGCTTGTAATTAATATCAGATAATATGAAACAGACCGTTTAAATAATAACAGCTCCTAATGCACTTAATTATTCACAAGTATTGAATGAAACCCTATTATGTTCCAAGCACTTTTAAAGTTCTGAAAATTTTGCAGTAAACAAAATAGACAAAAATTCTTTATCTCATGAAGCTTACATTCTAGTTGGTGGAAAGAGAACAAAATTAAAGTGAGTAAATTAATGATTTATTATCAGTAGTGATGAATGCAATGGGAAAAAATATCTGAAAAGGAGGACAAAAATATCATAAGGGGGGCAGGGGTGACTGCCATTTTAGTAAAGTGCTAAACGAAAAGGGAAATTCAATTATAGAGGTATTCCTGCAGATGGGATAAGAGACAGCAAATGTCTGATCTAAGGACTCTAGGTTGGAAGACAATGGAAAGATAACAGAGAAAGGAAATTCAATTAATTGTATATTTAAAGAAGCACTCTGGCTGCCTTAAGAATAGTTTGCAGGAGAAGTAATGGAAGAATCAGAGAGATCTATTAGTGGCTATTATAAGGAAAAAAAATGATGATGGCTTAAGCCAGGTTAGTTGCATGGGAAAGTAGTGAGTGTTGGAGTGATTTTGGGTATATAATGAAGGCAGAAACAAAGGAATTTTGTTGATGCATCTGATGTAGGGTGTAATTGAAAGAGGTGTAAAGAATGCTTCCAAGTTTTTTGTCCTTAGAAACTAAAAGGATGGAATTGCTACACTTGAAATGCGAAATCATTTGAAAGAAACACATTTTGGGGAAGAGAAGGACAGAATTTTGAACATGATTACTTGAAAATGCCTGTAGCTATAGAACTTGTGGTTGCTGGTTGAATATATGTGTCTGAAGTTCAGAAGAAGGGTTCATACTATAGATATAAGTTTGAAAATCACGGGGTCATGGGAGATATTTAAAAGCATGGAACTAAACATTACCCAATAAAATGAAAGTAGATAGAAATGAGGAGTCCAGGGACTTAGCCAAAGTCTAGAGATACAGTAGTTGAGAAGGAAGCATTCAAGGAGACAGAAGAGAATCATCCTATGAGAAGAAAAGAAACATAGAAGTTGAATTTGTGGCTGGCAAATCAATAAAATTTTCATTTTATTTCATTAACACAGGAGTCAGTAACCAAGTGCATAAAATATTTCTGCTTAATTGCGTAAGACGAAAATTCTAAATTGACCACGGACATTGACTAGAACAGTTTGATGGCAGTAGAAAGCCAGTTGCAATGAGTCTAAGGTAGCAAGGAGGCACAAGAATAAAAGACAAGTACAGATAGCATAAACCACTCTTTTGAGGATCTTTGTGGTAAATATATGGAGGAGAGAATGGGGCTGTAGCTACAAAGGAAGTGGATTCAATCATAATTTTTTTAAGATGAGGGAAATATGCTTTTATGCTGTTAAGAAAGATCCTGTGGGAAGTTGAAAACATCTGATGGAGGAAAAAGAAGGAGCCATTGCTAGAGCTCTGCAGCAGTCCCATGTGACAGAAGGTGGGGTCCATACAAAATTGAAGGAGTTGGTCTTTGCTAGTCACAGCTAGTAATAGCAAGACAGAAAGCAGCTTAGTGAGCACAGAGGTTGTTGGGGGAAGAAAGTGTTGGTGGCATGCTGTGCAACCTTCAACTCTGGTTGCTTTTATTTTTCTCAGGAAAATAGGAAGCAGAATCACCAGATGAAAGCAAGAATGAGAGATATGTGGAAGGTGAAGAGAAAAGAGAGAATAACATGGTCATCTAACTTAATGAAAAAAAGCGCTGAGTGGGAATATGATAGGATTGCTAGAAACCAACAAGGCTATGAGCCTAAATTTAAAGGGACTTTAGGCAGCAAGCCTGTGTGTTAATTTTCAGCTTTATTTCACTTCAAGGGAGTATGGAGTAATCTTCACCACAACTCTAAAAAGTAGGAAGGTACTATTGTCATCCTCATTATAGAGTTAAAGAAATGCAGAAACAAAGATTAAGGACATTACCCAAGATCGTGTACTTTGTAAGAGCTGGTCTCTGGATTCTAATTCATACATAGCTTGAACCACCTACCACTACGTTTGCAGTTCCCACAAATTGCATATTCCATGAAATACACCAAATATCTAGTTACGAAAACTAGGTAATATTAGTGCCATTTCTAAGATGTGGCACCCAGAAAGGGTAGGATTCAAGCATGAGAAAAAGGAACTAGGCAACTATTAAAATTTTGTACTTGTGTGGTATAATATGGGTCTGTGAATTTTCCAGAAATAAAATATGTTCTTGGCTCTCACGATGTTCATATTTTAGTAGAGAAACAAGTAATAAAACAATCACAAGCTACTATGGTAAGTGCTATATTTAATATCTAATGGAACTATAGAGGAGGAAGTGTTAAATATTCTTGGGATAGGTGGGAAGAAAAGGTGTCAACGAACACTTCCCAGATGGTAAGATGGTTAGGCATATTCTTGAAGAATAAATGCAAAGTCCTCAGGCAAAGAACAGCATGTACAAAAGCCTGACAAAAGTATCATTTGCAGAGACCTGAAGTTGCTCCATCTGGGAGGAATGGTGAAAGTGTAGAGTGATTACATGGGAAAGTTGTGCTGGCAACAGCTGGAGAGCTATTTAAAAATCAGAGGGAGAGGAGTGGTTTGAGAAGTTTTCTATTTTACGAAGAAAATGCTGGACTCAATTTGGAGGCTATATTGGAAAGGGAGTGGGAGAGAATACTTAAGGCAAAGATATCATTTTAGTGCTTATTAGTAATGGAGTGAAGCAGCAATTGTGTAAATGCAGAAGAGATGAATTCCTAAGAGAAATCTCTTGAAATTGTATTTCATTTTTTACCACATTGCTGGCATCATCCCATTCTTGATATGTCTAAGTACCAAAAAAAAAAAAAAACCCACCTATACTGTCAAAATTTTAATGACTAAAAGAAAAAGTAATTGTTTACCAATAATTAATAAACAAACATGTACCAAATCCTTCCATCAAAGCATTGTATGTGATATGGTTAGCAATTTCATTTTGAGAGATTTAACTGATGTAGAAATTTGGTACATATAGAATACATATTCTTGTATACTTTTAAAAGTCCCAAAAGAACACAAATATATTAAATCTTTTTTGAATTAAGGCAGATACAATGAATAATTACCTACTGTATGTTTAACTCTAAGAGAGAATAATAACATACAATGGCATCTTGCTTTCAGATAAAGAGAATAGAATATTTCATGTATTTATATTTACTGTCTCTACCTGAAATTAAAACTTAAAATTGTTATTGACTAATAAGGTAAAAGTTAAAAAAATGAGTTTTGGAAGGTCTATAAATCCCCAAATATCTCCATTTTATTCTCCATTTTATTTTGTAAAGCTGCCTGAGATTTTCTTCATTAAAATTCTCTTCATCTGGTTATTTGAGCTAGTGGTCTTTCACTTTGAGTATGAAGTAGTTTATATAGAATTCTCCCCTTTATATAAAGTTGAGATGAAAAATACTTAGGGGAGAAAAAAAAGAGCTTTGGAAAATAAACTAGGTAAAGACATGGACATTTCATATCATGATTAACCCTAAGAGACAGACAACCCCTTCTCCTACTCATCCACTGGCTGCCTCAGAGAAGAACATCAGGAAGCAAGGAGGTGCCTAAGGCAAATTTGTCTGTCTAGAATCTGGCCCAACTAGCATCTTTTTCATTTGGTCCTTTGTGCTCATTTCACATTTAAAACTACTTAATTTAAACTGGAAAGTCCCACATGATCTCATTTACTCCCAAATTAAAAAATCCATAATCAGATAGCATTCCCCAGATCTACAAAGGAAGCTAGTCCTTGAGCTAATCATCTGTTGCCAGCCATTGTAAAAAGTCACAAGCTGACAACCTGCACAGCACTGCCACTCAGGATACCTCCAAAATACCAAAAAAGAAAGCCTATGTGTTGATGTTATTTATTAAATCAGAAGCAAAGCTATTTCTCTTGAATTAGAGGTATGGAACTGCAAATTGACAATCCCTAAGGGGAGGATGAATAACCCAAGTTCACAGCAATGGTTAAAATTGCCTCATGCAATACAATTCAATGCCTTCCTCCAAAAAGCTGAATTCTTAAAATCTCATTTAACCACCTTAACTTTCATTCTGAAAGTGGTCTTTGCTCAGTAAATGAAAATTACAATTGAGCAGTTGTACCTCGTGCTTCTGTTTTTTTTTTTTTTAGTTTGATTATAGTTTATAATAATCGAAGGACTAGAAGTCACGATTTTAAAGAGAGAAAGACGGAGGGAAAAAAGTGCACTGTACATGCTGGTCAGTTTTCCCTTTGGAAATATCTGAGCTTATTCTGTGTCAAAGTCTATCTGTCCATGATGTTATTTTTAAACCTTGAAGAAGGAGGAAACTGACTGATCTTAAACGATTTCTAAAAACCTATTTTTCCCCCATACTTTGCCCATTATAAGCCACAGGGATCAACCTGCCCCCTGCTGATAAACTCCATAGTTTGAAAACACTAATCAAACAAGATAGTGAAATGATCAAAGTGTAGTAGTCTGATTCCTCCATTCAGTGTACGACACATCTATGAACTGAAGGGGAGCAGGAGATTTCAAATAAAGACTAAAAGAACTCTTTTAAAGCATTTCTTTTGTACTAGAAAATTTGTTCATTTTGAGCTAAAAAAAAAAAAAACAGGAGAGCGAAAAGCCTAATAAATTCCTTTGATCTGGACATGGCAAGTTCTTAAAGAGAAAGTCTAAAAGGTTGTAGACTATCTGCTGTTCTCTGAAAATTAAAATCCAGCAAACCAACACTTCACTGTTCTACTGCCTCCTCCCTGCCACTGACAACATAATATATATTCCATCCATTTAGGGAGAATAGAAACTACTAGAAATGACTGAAGTAAGACCTCAACGAACTCAAATATTTTAACAAAAATACAGAAATCTCTTACCCTTTTTGCAGGCCCAGAGAGGGTGCATCTCACTGAGAGCCTGCCCTAGAAACATTCACATGAGTCACTGGGATCATTTGGTACAAATGAAGAAAATCAATGAGCAGGTATCTAAACCTCAAACATTCACTGTCAGCTAGTTGACAATTTAAATTTGTGAATTCTTAGGTTTTAAAGTAATAAAGAAGGTATTGGACAAATGGGTGCATTCAAGTTCATAAGAAGACATTTTAATTCATTTTTTTTAAATTGAAGTCTTGCGCTGGCTAAATACATCCACAGCTGGATTTGGTGCACACCTTGTGCTCAAGTTTAAGTTATTGCTACTCAGAGTGTGGCCTACACAGGAGCTTCAATAGTTCCATCTTGGAACTTGTTAGAAATCTGAATTTTAGAGCAATCCCATGTGTACTTAACCATAATCTGCATTTTAACAAGATCCTGGGTAACACATATGTGCATTAAGGCCTGGACAATGCTTCTGAGAGCTGTCACAAATTTAATTTCTAATCCACATGTTGAAATTATTAGTAAAAATAAATGCTACATAAGGATTTATGGAGAGCTTTATCTGGAATTCTGAATGAAAGGAGATCAGAAAATGAAAATTTCTAATAGCCTGCTTTCCTGAGACAATGTTCCCCCTTGTATTTTGCAGATTACTTCTCTGAGCGTGTATATTTCTGCATTATTTTTTGGTTTACTTTTTTTTTTCCTTTTAGTTAGATTAACTTTAACCCAGTACTTTTATTGAAATATTTCCTTGTATAAAGTTTTTGATATAAGGGATAAAAAGATGACTAACACAAAGTCTGCATCTTCAAGTTTTAGTTGTTACCCAATGTATCAGGCAGCAAAAATTATAATATTAAAAGAAAGAAAAGGGAAAAACTGTAGTAGACATGTTCTGGTAAGCCAGAATACCTTTGTTGAGGAAAATACCACTTTCAATAAATGCAGTTACGATGAGGCTGTCAATTATATTCCCATGAGTGTAAGACACAGACAGGAAAACCAAAGAACCATATCCTCCACGGTGCTTGGACTAAACCTCAGAAAGGGCTTCAGTAGAGTTTTAAAAAATTTATTGTTATTATTATTATTATTATTATTATTATTATTTAGAGACAGAGTCTCACTCTGTTGCCCAGGCTGAAGTGCAATGGTGCATTTATAGTTCACTGAAGCCTTAAGCTCCTGGTCTTAATTGATCTTCCTGCCACAGCCTCCCAAGTAGCTGGGACTACAGGTGCACACCACTGTGCCTGGCTAATTGCTTTATGTTTTTGTAGAGATAGGGTCTCACTGCATTGCCCAGGCTGGTCTCCATCTCCTGGCATTAAGTGATTCTCCTGCCTCAGTCTCTCAAAGCACTGGAATTACAGGTGTGTGTTACCATGTCCAGCTTGATCCAGTAGAGTTTGTCAGAAACTTCTGTGCTGTAAGAACACTAATAGAAATCAAAGTTTTTGTTTTGTTCTGTTTCATTTTTTACTGGAAATTTCAGAAAGATGTTAATCAAGAACACACACACATAAACAAACATATGCATACATGTATATATATATATATATATATATATATATATATATATATATACACATATATCCAATATATTTATAGAGGAATTGGTAGATGGATACATAGAAGATAGGTAGATAGATAGACAGATAGATAATCTTATAAATATGTTGTATTAGCTTGCTAGGGCTGCCATAACAAAGTAGTACAGACTGGGTGGCTTAAAAAAGCAAATGTATTGCCTTAGAGTTCTAGAGATTAGAAGTCCTAGATGAAGGTATCAGACAGAGTTAGTTTCTTCTGAATGAAGTGAAGAAAAACCTGTTTCATGTCTCTTTTGGCCTCTGGTGGTTTCCTTGCAGTATTTGGCATTCCTTGGATTATAGATCTCTTCCTTCATCTTCACATGGCATTCTCCCTAGGTTTATGTCTTTGTGTCCAAATTTCCCTTTTGGGGAAGAATATTAATCATATTGAATTAGATGCCCACTGTACTTTTGAATGATTGCTTCCTGTGTGAATGGAATGTGCTCTGTCTCTTCCTACTTGTATCCAAACCACATATCTTAACTAAATCAATCACTCTAAATTGAAATTCTCATCAGTTCATGGCTCAGCTCAAGAATTTTCAATGAATCCCCATTGCCTAATAAAGTGAATCCAAACCAAACACATACAAATTAGAGATATACAATATGGCATCAATTAGTGTGTTCAATCTCGTCTTCCAATTCATTTAACTCCAGTATGATCTTACCTTAACCAATTACATCTGCAATTACACTCTTTCTAAATAAAGCCACTTTCTGAGGTACTAGAGATTAAGACTTGATCATATGAATTTTAGAGGACACAATTTAACTCAAAACATGTATATGTATATATATATATATCTGTGTATATATATATATCTGTATATATATATCTGTATATATATATATCTGTGTATATATATATCTGTATATATATACATAAGTGTGTATATACATATATATGTATACTGCTCTCAAAAGAAATGTATACAAATAATTGTTGCTATAAATATTTATTTGTAATAATGAAAATATCCATCTAGATATACATGAATAAAAGTCCACATAATAAAGCCAATTAGAAAGACAAAGATACGTATAGAAAAAATTCTAATGATGTCATTTGAGACAGAAACATTACATTCCCTCTTTTCTCATGGTAATTTGACTAAGATTTCTGTGGCTTATAACTAGAAGATCAATGAATATTATGAGAACTAACATTTACTGAGAACCCTTTAATAAGAATATGCCATGGCCTCTTAAATGTATTACTTAATTTAATCCTTAGAATTTCTCTACAACATGAATATTATTACTTCATGTAATCAACAAGAAAACCAAAGCTGAAAACTCAAATAAGTGAAAATAATTATTCACATCTGGGTTTAAATCTGGTCACTTTTTGAGTTCTCCATATCTGTATCATCTTGAAGAGCACACATAAAAACCAACATTTGCTGCAAAAGATTCAAAGAAGGAGAGAGAAATATAGCTAGCTAAAAGTTTAGAAAAGCCCTCGTAGAGGAGATGGCTTGAATCTAAGTGGGGAGAAAGTGGTAGAATTTCAAAAAACCTAGAATATTTCAGGAAAATGGGATTGCATGATAAACGGCTTGATAGTCCTAAAATCTGGACATATTTAGAAGTAGTGTAATCATGTTTTGAATAGGACATGGGGAGATAGAATTGGAAGACCAGACTGGGTAGACTGATATCATGTTCTATATCTCTAATTCTTATGTGCTCAGTTTGAATTTAATTTATTAGGCAATGGGGATTCATTGAAAATCCTTGATCTGACTCATGAGCTGATGAGAATTTCAATATAGAGTGACTGATTTAGTAAAGATATTTGTTTTGGATACAAGTAGGAAAAGATAGAGCACAGTACACTCACATAAGAAGCAATTCTAACAGTCTGAATATTTTTCTTGAACATGTATGAAATTTTTTCTTAAATTTATTTACTTATTTATTATTGTTATTATCATTATTATTATTTTGGAGATGGAATCTCGCCCTGTCACCCAGGCTGGAGTGCAATGGTGCAATCTCAGCTAACTGCAACCTCCGCCTCTCAGGTTTAAGTGATTCTCCTGCCTCAGCCTCCCGAGTAGTTGGGATTACAGGTGCACGACACCACTCCTGGATAATCTTTTGTATATTTAGTAGAGATGGGTTTTCACCATGTTGGCCAGGCTGGTATCGAACTCCTAACCTCATGATCTGCCCGCCTCGGCCTCCCAAAGTGCTAGGATTACAGGCGTGAGCCACTGCGCCCGGCTTTTCTTAAATATTTTAAAGCTATGTAAGCTCTTAATAAGCTATAATAATTTCTAGATAAATTGATTTATGAGAATTTTATTTATTCAACTTTTATTATTTATAATTTTTAAACTATCAAAAATGTTCATACTATGATAAAGAAACTGAAATAATTAAACTAAAAAACAAGAATATAAAAAAGTTAGGATCATAGCTTTTTCTAATAACAGAAAACATGTAACTTTTACCTGATATTTCATTCACTCCACTGTAGGAAGTATGAGAAGTATTCAGAATATCAATGCTCTAAGATGTGACAGGGAATGGAGTAGGGAACAAAGAGCTTAAATTAGGATAGTGATGAAGAGAATTAAAAAAAAAAAGGAACTTTTGGAGCAAAATTCAGGAGGCTTCTGCTCTATGAGGAAGACAAACTAATGCAGCAGTTCTCAAAATGAGGTCCTTGGACCAGCTGCAACAGCATTTAAATGAGAAATTGTTGGACATATGTGCTATTGAATTCTATCTCACACCTACTAAGAAACTTGGGGAATGGGGCCCAAGAATCTGTGTTTTAACAATCACTTTTCTGGTGATTCTGATGCCTTTTAGAGTTTGAGAGTCACTAGCTTCTGCTGGGTTTGGGTTTGAATTTCTGATTCTTTTACTAACTGTGTGCTTTTAGGAAGGTCATTAATATTAGGTAAGCTTCAAATTCCCCATCTGTACAAGAATTCTCACTCTACGTGGTGATGTGAGAACTTTAACAAATCGTTTGTGCAAAGTTTTAGTACAGTGCCTACCAGGTAGGAAACACCTAACAATGATGGCTTTTTTTTTTTATTAAGAAGTGATGTTTACATTAAGATGGCTCAGGTTAAAAAATTACCAAGCGGGGCTGGGCATGGTGGCTCGTGCCTGTAATCCCAGCACTTTGGGAGGTTGAGGCGGGTGGATCACAATGTCTGGAGTTCGAGACCAGCCTGGCCAACATGGTGAAACTGCATCTCTACTAAAAATACGAAAAATAATTGGGCGTGGTGGCGGATGCCTGGAGTCCCAGCTACTTGGATTCAGGAGGCTGAGGCAGGAGAATCACTTGAACCTGGGAGGTAGAGATTCCAGTAAGCTGAGATCACACCACTGCACTCCAGCCTGGGCGATACAGTGAGACTGTGTCAAAAAAAAAAAAAATTACCAAGGTGGATTCCTGTTTCTCATTTTGTGTTATTAGAACCCTGGTGGTTTTAGCAAAGCATGCCAAAATGAAATGGGATATTTCAAAATAAAGCATAAGAATCCTTACAATTTTTTGTTTCCTGGTCTCAACTAACAGTGTGACCTTGGGCCACTTTGTTAACTGATTTAATTCCCAATTTTTTCAACAATAAAATGCTGGGAATTAATTATATCTAAGTTTTTTCCAACTCTACAATCCATGATTATCTTTCATTTATCACTAAAGCTATCAATCAATTAACAATTAAGTTTAAAGTATTGTGGTCAATGATGTAGAGAATACAAGAATTGTAACATACATGACCCAAGATGTCACAATTAGACTTGGATTATGCACATAAAAAATTCACCAACCCTAAAGGCAGCATGTGGTATTTCACGGGAGTGACAAAAAATATGCATGGGGAAAAAGAACAATTAGAGGCTATCCAATTTTAAACTCATGGGCACTAATATTAAGTGGGTTGTTACTCCTATACAGAATTTTTCTATTTCCCTAGGACATTTTACTATTGCCTCAATGACTCTCTGGATCTTCTACTCACTATCAAACCTCTATCACTTATTTTATTCTTTCCTGGCTGACAATCATGCTTCTTAATTTCACTGAGAAAAGGGCACACTCACAAAACTTCTGCAAGCTTTCATCAATGTATCTACTGAACTTTCTGCCCATGTATGCTGCCTTCCCTTCTGTTAAAATGGTGGCATAAATGAACCCTGCATACTTTTTCCTAAGCCTTGTGTTCCTCCTGTGCACTAGTTCCCATCCCCTCTTCCCTACTCAATGACACCATTCCAATAACTGTAACTTTTTACTATTATATCATGACATTTTCTCCCTCTGCTGGATATACCCATTCAGCTTACAACCATGGTCCTCTTTTTTCTCTGTTGATAAATACCTCTCCTGACCTATTTTTCCCTCCAGTGAACACCCAGTGCCTCTGCTCCCATTTACTGCAAATATGCCTCAAAATAATTACCTAGTCAACCAGTCATCAATTTATCCACTCCCATTCTCTTTGGCTCACTCCAGTCAGGTATGTGGTGCCCACAAATCCACTGAACTGCTCTTGTCAAGGCCATCAGTGGCTTTCAGATTGATAAATCCGATGGCCAATTCACAGTCCGTATTTTATGTTTGACATCATTCATCATTCCCTTATCATTGAAACACTTTCTTCATTTGACTTTTGAAACTGGTGACTCCCGATTTTCCTTCTAAGTTACTGGTTGCCCTTTTATCTCTGTCAACAAATGTCTCTCTTGACCTATTTTTCCCTGTTTGCTGGATTAGCTTCATTTTGTAAATCTCCTAAAATTGTGGTGTTTCAGCACTTGTACAGCTTCTCTATTGAAAATCACTCCCTAGGTGATGCCGTATACGCCCATAAGTTTAAACTCCATTTATATTCTGATTCTTTCCAAATTTATATCTCCAGTAATGACCCATTCCCTGAACTCCCGACTTATATATTCAACATCTTCATTTGGATATTTAAAAAATATCATAAAACAAATTTAAATTGTAAAAATCTCTTGATCATTCTCCCCTGACAAATATGCTTCTCCTACAGTCTTCTCCTTCTCAGAAAAAAGCAATCACCATGTTCCTATTACTTAAGCTAAAAACCTTGGGGTCCTTTTATACTCCTCTTACTCACTCTCATACAACAACCAAGCTATTAACTAATCCTGTCAATGTTACTTTAGAAATATACCTAGAAGTGTTCCATATTTTACTTGTCCACTGTTGCTGCCTTTATCTAGGATGCTATCACCTGTCACCTGCTTATTTCAATCACCTTTTTATTGGTCTTCCTAACTCTACTCTCTGTTTAAATCCCTCCTATGGCTCCCCTCCTTGCTCACAGTAAAAGCCAGCAACTTATGTAATTATCCTAATATTCTCGTTCTTTGCTACCCAAAGTGTGATTCCCCAAACAACAATATGAATGTCACATTGTTAAACATGCAGAATCTCAGGCACATCCCAGACCTTCTGAACTTAAATCTGCATTTTTAAAGATTTCCAAGTTAGGCCAGGTGCGGTGGCTCACGCCTGTAATCCCAGCACTTTGGGAGGCAGAGGCAGGTGGATCATGAGGTCAGGAGTTGGAGACCAGCCTGACCAACATGGTGAAACCCCGTCTCTACTTACACAAAAATTAGCCAGGTGTGGTGGCATGCACCTGTAATTCCAGCTACTCAGGAGGGTAAGGCAGGAGAATCACTTGAACCCGGGAGGCACAGGTTACAGTGAACCGAGATCATGTCATTGCACTCCAGCTTGGGCAACAGAGCAAGACTCTGTCTAAAAAAAAAAAAAAAAAAAAAAAAGAAAAGAAAAAAAGATTTTCAGGTTATTTGTATGCACATTGGCATTTGGGAAATACTGTCATAAATAATCTTTCCACCACCCTTCACTCTGACTTCATTTTCCATTTCTTTCCCCCACCACACATTCTGTTCCAGACTCTAATCTCTTTGCTATTCCATGACCATGTTAAGAACTATGTATTTGTTGCTGGCATAGAAGTGAGCATCTCAGTCCAAAAGGCAATGAGGAAGTGAATCCTGCCAGAAATTACTACAAGTGAGAGTAGAAGCAGATTGTTTCCAAGTCAAGCATTGAGATGACTGTACCTGATCAAACTCCTTAACTTTAGCTTTGTCTGATACTGTGAATTATAGGACCCAGCTAAGGTGAGCCTAGAATTTTTAATCCAAATAAACGGATATCATATATATGCATTGTTTTAAGTCATTGAGTTTTGGGGTAATTTGTTATGATGCAAGACAACTAACGCAGATATCACACGCTAACCCCTGCTTCTAGAAGGCTCATGGCCCAACCAATTAATATCATTTTTTCATTATTTAATAAGAACATGGTATAAAGGAAGCATCCACTGCCTCTCTTGGCTCTCAAGATACTAATCCTTTAATTGGGTAAACGAGACTGACATCTTAAGTCATTAAAAATAAGTTTAGTTGGCCAGGTGCAGTGGCTCACGCCTGTAATCCCAGCACTTTGGGAGGCTGAGGTGGGTGGATCACGAGGTCAGGAGATCAAGACCATCCTGGCTAACAGGGTGAAAACCCGTCTCTAATTAAAAAAAAAAAAAGTAGCCGGGCGTGGTGGCAGGCGCCTGTAGTCCCAGCTACTCGGGAGGCTAAGGCAAGAGAATGGCGTGAACCGGGGAGGCAGAGCTTGCAGTGAGCCGAGATCACGCCACTGCACTCCAGTCTGGGTGACAGAGCGTGACTCTGTCTCAAAAAAAAAAAAAGAAAAAAACAAAATTAAGTTTAGTCGATAGATTAACATAATCAAGTGCTAAGATTATGTATTGTAAACCAAGGGTGTAGTCAGAGTTTGGAAAGCAAGAATAATGAGGTTTGGGAAACATATCCTACATTAGTATGACCTGAATTAGTAGAGATTATATAGAAATTTATATAACCTCCAAAGAAGACAAAACAATAAAAAAGGTTTTATTGTACTCTCTTTTCAATTTCTTTGTTATATCAGAAATTGTGATTTGTCTTTTTATATCTGTTTCTTTGAGTCTTATTGGAGCAGTCTTTATTTTCTTCCTAAAAATTATTTCTATCATGCTTCTTTTTTGTAAAATTCCTTCTTGTTAACTGACCATGTCTTCATATTGCCCAGAGTATATAATATACAAGGAAAACAACTGTTATACAATCCTTAGGAGCTGGAAAAACTGAATGGGTGGAGTACGAATACACAAAGACATGACTAATTTGCAACTTGCTTGCTTCCTTGTAATTGCTCTTGTTAAGTGACCTTTAATTTGACCTACAACATCAACAAACTCAAGAATAGCAATGAAATATTAATGCTGACACCCAGTTCAACATAAAATGTTCACTGAATTTTTCAGAATGTATTACATTAATTCTGATTTGAATTTTTGAAATAAATTAAATAATTCTACACTCAAGCTATGGCAGTTTATGCAAGATAAATTTTATTTATGTTGTAGCCCTGAGGAAATGTATTAAAATAAATTGTTTCACATTTCATTGGTTAAAGTTGTTCAAACCATGAACTTGACCTAGGTGGACCACATTCAATACGTTTTTGGGGGTGCGGAAAATGGTAGAAATGAAGGCGCAATTTGAAGCCAATTTGAATCAAGCCATCAGCATGCATTTTGTGCATCTAGTATGCAAATAACTGCTGCAAGAGCAGGGTTTACAAAGAAGTATATAATGTGGCCATTTAGAAGGCATCCTTCTTTTGAAAATTAACATTTATGGTGCTTTATAAATTTAAACAAAATACATATTCATTAAGTCCCAGGAAGAAAATAAATCACCTGTAATCATATCATTTAGACTAGAGTACTGGTTCTCAAACTTGAGTGTTCAACATAATCACCTGGAGGGCTCATGGGCTTATTAAAACTCAGATTGTTGGGCCCAATTCCCAGAGTTCCTGATTCAATAGAAATAATTTGTTTTTCTAACAAGTTCCTAGGTTACACCAATGCTGCACATTTATACTTTGAGAACCACTGTTCTAGAAAAATCAGATTTAGCATTTTGGCATTTCTCTTTGGAGGTTTTTTTTTTTTTCTGATCACTTAAAATATAATATCTGTATACAAACACCCACACACTAACACATAGTTACACACACACTCAGTATCCTTTGTAAATGCTGTTTTGAAACTAATTTTTCATTTAATATGATATCACGAAACTTCCCCATGTCAGTACTTTGTATTTGCTTGTCTTTTAAAACACAATTATTATTAAAGCCTGTTCAAAAAGAGATCTTTTATCTACTCACAACATTTGTCACAAAAGCGCTTCTCCTTACTTCCCCAGTAGTGTAATGGGTAACAGAAATATCTCAACTTCAGGAGGAAATTTTCAGAAGGCTTCACTTTTTGTGGCTTGGCGAAGAAGAGCTGCCGGCTGAGAACGTAGCCCTCTCCCATATCTAGAACATTTACTTAATTGAACGTCATGATTTTTGGAGATAAAATATGTAGCCACAAAAAAATGACCACCTTAAAGAGCAGAATATGCCAAGCCCAATTTAATTACATAGAATTTATAGAGAAAGATGAGGAGAAATGAAGAGGTTTCACAGAGGTCTAGAGTGATGCCTATATAACGGCTATTGATTGCTTCCTTGCTTTTATTATCCTCACTTCTCACTAATCCTCTTCCACACACTTCCTCTCGCACAGACCTGGTTGTCCTTCATATAATGTGATACAACCTCTTCTGGCCATAGTTCACCAGTCCCTGACCAAATGAAAACGAATTTATAACTGGACTGAGCCACTGAAATCAAGATTCAAACCATGAGACACAAAGCATGAGTGAGTTCATAGCTAAGTTACACCAATGGCTGAACTCAAGACTGCAGAATCACGGTCTCCTTTGCGTTTAAGAGAAGTCCTGGTACCTGCATTGTTAAGCCTTTCCTTTAATTCCTTGAGATCTATAATCTCATAAATCTGCTTTCTCTTAAGGTAACTTAACTACATTTCTGATTTTTGTAACTAAAGGTACCATAAAACAGTGACATTACAGTTGTCTGGGTTAGAGAAGGTAACACTAACTAAGTGCTTCTTGTTTTTAGAATATGTTTTCTTTATCGATTTCAAAACATGAGAGTTAGAACTTTTTGGGAAACAGAATTTAAGATAAAAATTCAACAGCAATGCATATCTCAGCCATATTTTGTGGCTACTTCAGTTTTCTGTTCTATAAAATAATTAATTTAAGTGATGTCCTACATAAATATTTTGCTAAACAATAAGTATATATAGTTATTGACTCAAAATAAATGAACAAAATAAACTCTTAAGAAACAGAAGTGGTTTCATTAGAAAGTGATGACATTGAAATGGCCATTGTAATAAAAATGAAGTTAATCTCTTAAGAGTCTGTGAAGTATTCTAAATTCAGATAACTCTTTTTGCAAAGTATTCATCATCCTGTTTTTCTTATTGCTTTAAAATAGAAATTTATTTAAAATGGTCTCAATTTCCATAGAAAAGGATGTTATATCATAAAAGTAATTTCTTCACCCAGTCTGGTTAACTTCTCTTTCTACATAGAGCACAAGAGGAATTTACAAAAACATAAATCATCAAAATAATAGCTTATTTCTTTCTTTTTACATGGCATTAAATCCACTGTGGGAGGAAAAAAAAGGAGAAGTATTTTGATGAATCTGAATTTATGAGTAAAAATATAAAAACCAAAACGACTATTTTGACAGATGATTCATTTCCATGAATATTACATGGCTTTCAAAAAAGCTAAATTCAAAAATGCATCCAAAGAAAAGATGTTAACGCTCTTGTAATGTGTGTAAAACTAAGCCATCCAGGTGAAATCTCAGTAATGGAGAAAAACTTGCAGTAATTATTGGATTTCTTCTTAGGACTATAACATTAATCTACAAAAATTTCTTTAACAGCATTCCTATAAAACTTCCTTTAGATTAAATATAATTTAACAAAGTTATATGCCCCACATAATAAATGATTTTAAACATTTAAGAGAGGCATATAGAATCAGAGTTAAAGATGCCATAGTTTTAAACCATTATTTCAGTTACCACATTGCAGTTAAACATATAATACTATTATTTCTCATTTCCTTTGCATTGCATTAAACCCTTTCTGGTTCCCAGATAGAGGGGGGTGGAAAAAACCTTCAAGAACAAATTAAAATTGCTACGTAAATGAAGTAAATACTAATTACAACATTCAGCTGCTCAAAGACAAGAGGACAATTAAAACATCAAAATAGTGTCTACTTAAAGATTATTTTAATAATCACCATTTATTTGACAAACTAGCATAACCTGTGTACTGCCTTGTGATAACGGGAAGACATTAAATAGAAAAAAGTGTGTCATATCAATGAAACTAATTGGAAGTGAAGAGATGGGAAATTTTAATTAACTTTGTGAACTGGCTTTGTCTCTGTCAATTACCTAAATTACACCACAGAAACATGGGCAAAAATCTGTATTAAAGTTTAGACCAAAGTGTTTTGAAACAGTTTCTTAATGGGCAAGATGTAACTCATTTCAATTGCACATAAAAGAAAGAAAGAAAATTAATAAAAATGCAGAATAAATGGAGGAAACATAGATGGGATACATGGAAATGATAAAAGGAGACTTAATCAAACCCAGAAAGGATCTATTGATACATAAACACTAATCAACTGAGTGGCAAGTCAATTCCTTTCTTTTATTTTTGTTGTCTAGAGAAATATGAATCATAGTTGATATGAAATTAGTGAATGGATATCTACGTGGTTTTGTAGTTTTCATTTTTTTAATAAGGGGTAGGGGTCACAAAAATATTTGAATAAAATTAGCAATCAATACATTTATAAAATAAAATTGCATCTAAAATATTTTTTGTCTTTTGTTCTATGTGGGGATTTAATACAGATTATATTTAAATGAATTTTTCTAAAAGTCAATTTTAAAAAAGCATCATTTATAAAGTGTGTCCTCAAATATTAAAAATCACAAAAACACTCTCTATGCAAAAAAATTTCACAAGTCTCTAAAACAGATTAACTTTAGTGTGTATTGTAAAGGGTTGTCCTTTATCTTAAATATTTTTGAAAACTTCCTTTATGTTAAATATTTTTTAAAACTTCTAAGTAGTTTGCACAAATATATATATTCCACAAAACTCCTGGCATCTAGTATAAATGAGGACAACATTCTAGGTATAAGAAAAAATACAATTAAAAACTTAAGCTAAAAGGAAAGCTCCGTGTTTATCTATATTTGAGGATTACAAAATGGTTTCATTTCCCATGCTAAACTCAAATTATATACCATGGCTATGTGGTATAAATTTGAATAAATATTACAAGTTTTAGCAAGAAAATGTACATGACAAATTAATTATCTGTATCTTTCATGGGTACTTGGTAAAGGGCAGTGTTTTGGGAATTTTGTCCCTCATCTTTCCCAACACTGATCTAATTAAATTCCTCTCACATTATAGACGATGAGACCAAAGCTTAAATTGTTAAAATGCCTAAGATTACAAATCCAAGTTACGTTCAAAAAATTGCTTGAATAGAGAGTTTTAAATTTCCATAGAAAACCAAAGAATATATTATAAAGAAAAACACCTTGTATGTCTTTAGAAGACATGGGATGTTTTACCACAGGCCAAGGATATAAAGACAGTCCAAAGAATTAATTTATTTATTGCCCTGTGTTAATTAGTGACAAAATAGATTAGATTGATCAACAAGACACATTGGCAGCTAATAAAAATATATTATAATATTTTATTTCCCGGCTTTAAATCTGGCCTAGTTTTCAAGTATAAGTCAAAAATAGACCACCTCTATGCTGCGATTTGAGAAGTAACCAGAAGGACTACTATTCTGAATAACTTCCCTCTACAATATGTCATCGTGCCTAAAATGTCATTCCTTTCTTTGGGTCCTCAAGACTTTTTTATGGTTTATTTACAGTGTTCTGTTTTAAAATGCAAATATACTTAGTGAGAAACAACTTTCCTCTAAAATCAGTTGATACAGTGATGAGAATTTGATATGACTGTATGAAACAGTGAATGCAAACTACCTGTTTCACAGTTTTGTTCTATTGCACCAGAATACTTCTTTTTAGAGAAAATCACCCTGTCAGAAACTTGAAGTCAGTTTTTGTGCTCCTAATTGACTGTTGACTTCATTCATTAACTGCTTACCAGTAAACCAAGTTTTGAGGATTTTCAGAATGTGCCTTTGAATAAATCATAGAACATAAAAATTTATTGTGGAATGATTATCTGATATTTAACTAGATTGACATGTCTATAAACAATTGTAAAGCTAAGCACCCAATCATCTAGGAAACAGTTCAGGTTGAAGTCAGTTGCTATGGAAGCTTATAGAAATGCTGTATTCCAAAGGAGGAAACTAAAAGGGATAAGTATTTAGGTTTAACATTGAATGTAATTTTTATCCCAGGTACTAACTGAAATGACAGGAAATGATCCACTAGAATCCAGGCTGGTCTTGAGTGCTTGCATTGATCAGGGACATCAACAACAAAAAAAAGTATTACTGCTTTAAATATTTTACTGTCCTAACTCATGAAGGCAGATTTAGTTCAAATACATTTCTAAAAGAGACACCATAGGGAGTATATCTAGGGTCAAGAATGCTGTTCCACTTTGAGAATTATTTTTCTATTAATAACGTATTTTCTTACCCCCTCCCCAGAGTTCAACATTTCAAAATAAAGTTTTTCTTTTGTTGTCTTTTATTTCTGAATATATTTTTAGGCCAATGGGCAATATATCATTCTTAAAATAGAAAAAACACTATATCCATATTGTAAGGATATTCTTTACAGATTATATATTTTTACTTTTAAAAAAGTTCATTTCAACAAACATTTCATTATTTTATTATATCCAAGATTAATTTTAATAAAAATAATTGTGGTATAAAAATTTTTACAGAGCTTTAATCTCTAAGTAAATATACCCTTAAAATTATCTGAAAATCATGTAGTGACTTTAATATAGTTCTAGCATAACCACCTTACTAATAAGACCAGTAAAAGCAAATTTATATTTATTTTTATGTAAAAACAAAGTGAGAGAGGAAACTTACTGTTGTCTAAATACATGGTGTTTGCCTCAAAAGTCTAATGTGTTTAAAATGTTTTCTAGAAAATTGTATTTGGTACCTAGATGTCTCTATAATTTTATTACTTTATTTAAAATAAAAAGTTGTTTAAAACGCAGCTTGTCTTTTAACTGCTGCAACAATTTTGTCATATTTCTGAAACGGATTTGTGTTTTAAATGCCTTACTTGAAAAAATCTACAACTAAATGATATGGGGAAAAGTAGAATATCACTTATGAGATACAATTTTTATTTTTCATAAATCAAAATTTCAATTTAACTATTAAAAATGATGGCTGAATGTATTCCATATGATACTTTCTAGATGAGAGAAAGTATCAGAAAAGAGAAGAATGGGCTTATAATCAAAATTTTAAGAACTTTGATATAGTTATTCAACAATTAAGTTTAGTATACACCTCCAAAAATAGAATGCTTAAAAAAACATACTTCATTAGGAAAAATCTTATATAATGGTGCCACTATTGATAGGGAGCCAGAAAAGAGTCTTTCTGGATATATAAATGACATTTTGAACCTCCTGACTTTTGTTCAGGAAGCAATGAAAAACTGGACCACTTAACAAATAGCTGACAGAAAATAATGAGCTGCAGTTTTGGCAATTCTTGAGACTTCAAAGTTATTAAAATACATACTACTGTACTTGAAGCTCTAGAAATGAGCCAGAGTTACTTACTTCCCTATTTAATTTTGGCTAAGGGCTTTCACATTTAAGTTTGGGCAAAGGCATGATATCAATGACCAAAACGGTCATTCCATGAGAGTGAAATCTAGAAGGGTGATTGTAGCTCTGAGTGTCATCTCAAGAAGTGCTGGGGACACTTTTGGTTTGGAACGTTGCTGCTGTACCTCTCACTGCCCTGCAGCTACTGGGCAGTGAAAGTAACCGGGCAGAAAGTTCTCTTCTCTTTTATCATTTGGTTCTATTAAGTTTGTTTTGTATAGAAACACTGATTATTAGTTGCTATGGACTGAATTGTGCTCCTCCACCACTATTCATATGCTGAAGCCCTAAACCCCAGTGTGGCTGTATTGGAAACAGGGCCTATAAGGAGGTATTAAGAATATAATGAGGTCATAAGGCATAGGGCCTAATCCAGTAAGACTGGCATCCTTCTAAGAAGAGCAATGGATGCCGGAACTCTTTCTCTTTCTTCCTCTCTCTCTTTCTTTGCACACACACAGGAAAATCTATGTACAGATACAGCAAGAAGGTGGTCGTCTGTAAGCCTGGAAGACAGCCCTCACCAGACACCAACGCTGCTAAAACTTTGATCTTGAAATTCCAGACTCTAGAACTCTGAGAAAATAAGTGTGTGTCAGCCTGTGATATTCTGTTATGGTAACCATAGCAGAGTAATGCATGGGTATACTCACTTTCTTTCTTTCAATCTTAAATATCCAATAGTTAAATGCATGAACTAGCATACCTTGAAACTTTTTTATATCCAGGAATTGAAAAATTCATATGCTAAAGCCCTAACCCCCAATGTAGCTGTATTTAGAAATGGAGCCTAAAAAATGTATTAAGAATATAATGAGGGTAGGGCTCTAACATCTATGATTAAACATCTAACATCTATGATTAAACAATGACTCCACATATAATAACAATAATCCTTAAAAACTTAAAATATATATCAGATTATATTTGACAAATGACAGAAACCTTTATTCTCATAAAAACACAAAAGACTACTGTGTAGCATTATAGTATCACAAAGAAATGCCAAAAAAAGTATTGTCAGGTTTAGACAATTCTTAGGATATTGGGCTCCCCTCCTGCTTCAGCATAGTTGATTCTACTTTATCTAAAGTATAGTCAACTCCCCTCCCCCATTATTTAAACTGAATAAACTGTAATTTCAGTAAATCAAGCAAAGACCTAATCAAGTTTTGATTTGCTAATTACTTCTCAATTTGATTAGAGCTGGCAGCTAATCATCTCTGGAAATTTAAAGTCAATCTTTCGCTCATATTTTCAAATGAAGACTTCAGTGTAAAACAAAATTGGAATATAGTATAAAAGTTCTTTGTGTTATAACAAATAATTAACGTCTACTTGTCACTACAATTTTAACAATAAAAAATATTTTCTAGGATGCTTCAACAAGTTGAATAATACATGCAGCATGCTATTCTGTGCTGTAGAAAAATAAAGCAAGCCAGTTTTATACAATTTTGTAAAGCAGCCCATGTTAAGCCAAGAAGTATACGTGCTACATTAAACAAGCATGGTACAATTCAAAATCACCATTCCATTTTTATGGTCAACAGTAGCTTGCAGAAGAAATATCTGCCAAGAAATTGAACTATGAACAATCAATATTATAATTGTGTTTCCAATTAAACCCAATCTTTGACCACACATTTAAGAATTATTAATATACTTAAGACAATATCTCCTTGCAAAATTTGCCAAGGTATGAAAAATAATGTCACAGTCATTTAAATTCAACAAGAGAAGACATTGTGATGAAATACTGTGAAAAAGAATGTGAGGCAGATGAGTTGGTTTTAATTTCAGGGAAAAATGTCTTTCACATTCGTTTCCCAAATACTATATTTAAATTGTACCCTGTAACAAGGTTTCTTCTGTCTTTGTCATTTTCTGCTCCTATTACAATTATGCAACTTGAAACTTGCTTGACTGTACTGCACTGAATAATGAATCATCTTTTCTATGAGATATTTCATTATTACCACTGCCTCATTAATAGCATTTCCAAGTGGTATAATCACAGGTAAAGCTATATAAAAGTTTGGATAACTATCTTGTAAAGTTAGGTTATCTGAGCAAATAATAGACACTTAATTTTTTCCTAAAAATTTTATCATCATAATTGATTAAATCTTAAACTAAATTTCTTGTCTCATTTCATGTAATTTCAATGAAAAGTGACAACAGCTTTTTTTTAAACTATTTTTTAAAAACCTTCCATTCTATTCTTCCTCCTTGCTATGAGGTTAATATTTTTTATTTACTTTCATTTTTAGTTTTTCATTGTATTATTTTCTCCATAAAATACTTTTTAGTTTTTCATTGTATTATTTTCTCTATATAATACTTTTTAGTTGCTATTTTTTGCAGTAAACCAGTATCTCTTAGGTTTAAAGTTTAAATAATATATTCATCGTGTCAAATTTGGTTTTATTCCATAATCTATCTTCTGAATGAATTCCCTGCTGACTATAACTAGTTTACTCAAAACTGGGTAGCAGTATTAAACAAACAGGGCTGTCTATCTAAGTATGAGGAGACACTTTCCACACATCTCTGCAGTGCAAAGGGTAATGGCCTCCCATTATATCTGGCAAATACATGAATGATTTTTTTCTTTTTCTTTTTTTTGTATCAATTTTAATCTGAGGCCTGTGAGGTCGTTCTGTTTTGAAGGTCAAGGAGATGGAAAGCCTGAGAACTGTAGTAAGTGCACACATCTCATTCATGCCTGCATTCTTTCTTTTTTTTAATTTTTTTTGAGACGGAGTCTCGCTCTGTTGCCCAGGCTGGAGTGCAGTGGTGCGACCTCGGCTCACTGCAAGCTCTGCCTCCTGGGTTCACGCCATTCTTCTGCCTCAGCCTCCCGAGTAGCTGGGACTACAGGCGCCTGCCACCACACCTGGCTATTTTTTTTTTTTGTATTTTTAGTAAAGACGGGGTTTCAAGGTGTTAGCCAGGATGGTCTCGATCTCCTGACCTCGTGATCTGCCGGCCTCAGCCTCCCAAAGTGCTGGGATTACAGGCATGAGCCACCGTGCCCGGCCCATTCATGCCTACATTCTAACCTTCATACCTGATATCTCTGTCCCCCAGAGGTTTAAAGGAAAAATGTTTAAGATATTAGATATAATTCTAACTCCAAGCTTCTTTCTCCCTGTCCAAACAATATAATTTTGGGAAAAAATAACCTATCAAGACCAAGAACTTAGGCTGCTTCAACTGATTTCAATCTTATTTTAAAATGTCCAGCTCTAATAATTTTCCATTTCATATGAAAATCATGCTATTTAAGAACTGGAAGCCAACATGTGAGATTTTTCTCACTATAGTTCTACGTGCCTCATGATGCTAGAGATGAGAGTATAGGGTAGAACATTTAAAAAAGTTGTATATAACGAATGGTTAACTGAATTGGAAAAATATTTTCTATTACTAGTGTATTTACTTCTATCACTAGTGTATATACTTCTATCACTAGTTTTTTTTTAGCTAAGAAAAGATGAAGAACCAACAGAACTCAATGTTAGAGGCTGAAACGCATTAATGCAATACATTAAAACAATAACATGTTTGTGACATGCAATGCAGTGGTAGAAGTTCTAACTTAAATTTTAACATGCTCTATGTTACAAAGTTGGGCTTTAGTAGCCAGAGTGGATTTTAGGGCTCCAATTTAATTATTTGGGTTGACTCTTCGAATAATGTTTAGTTGGCTCTGGAATGTGAGCATAATAAGGTATAGATTAGGCAAAAACTAAGATGGTAGAAATCCACTTTCTGAAGCAAGATAGAAATGTGGTTCAAAGACTTGCTTAAATTCCAGAATATAACCTAATGTCATCATCTTGGATCAGACCTAAATCACTTTCTAACTGAAATTCTGCAACAATCTCTAAATTGCTCTTTTTGTCAATAGTACTTTTTCATTCATTTATCCTTTAAGGTGTTAACAGAATGACGTTTAACCTGACTTGTGTATCCTATGCTGATCCCTTGCTACCTTCAGGAAAACATCCAGTTTCTGTATAATGTTGTCTGGGTCCATTCACAGTCTGATCCCAATCTGCTTTCCCCACCAACCAGGTCTTGGCTCCTGACATACCAAACGTCTTGCTGTTCCCTAAAAATGTCAATCTCTCTCATACATTACAGCCTCCATACTGATGCATGGAATACTAACTCCACCTCTCCAACCCTGGTGAATACGTGATTATGAGTTAAGTGTCAACTAGGTGTTGTCTCTTCTATATAAACATTACTCTCCCATAATATGTTATCCCATCATGTTCAAAAACCACATTTTTTTAAATTTTGAGTCTAATTATACAAGTGATTCTATGCCTGGAATCACTTCTTAAACATGGATTGTGCTCTGCTCATTCGTTCAACAACATCTGAAAATCTGTGATTGGTGTAGCATTATATTTAGTACTGCAGATTAACAAACGAGATTTGAAATGTGCAGAGTAATGGGAAGAAAATAGAGAAATAAGCATATGACTGCAATACCTGGTGACAGGTACTATCCTAATGAAATGCACAAGGTACTATGACAGCACAAGGCAGAGGCAGGAGACCACAGAATTACACGGAGGACATTGAGGAACAAGGTCCTCTCAAAGCAGCTAACATATCTGCTCGGCACTCAGTAGGTGCTCCTTAGACATGCTTTGAAGTGATGAAGGAAAAAAATGGTAATAAATAAAACTGATAACTTGGATGTCACATTTCTATTGTATGTCAAAGATCTTGCCTTCTCAAGTTTTCAGATCATAAAAAGATTTGGAGTTAGGGCAGAAAGATTCCCTTCTCAATAGTTATTCCCTTTCATGTCATTTTTTTTATTTATTTCATGTCCTATTTGAAGATACTATGGTCCTTTTACATTCCATACCAGTGATTCAGGGCTCTGATAGTCTCTGTCTCTGCCCTGAAACTTTCTTCCTTCTTAATGACACTATTTGCCTTCGTATTAGAAGCCGTTCTCCAAATACATCATACAAACACTTGTTCAATCCAAGTTACTAATAAAATAACATAAAATATGTGCCTTTTAATTAGAATTCAAATTAAAAGGCAAGTTATACACATATTGGCAGTTTCTAGAAAATACAAAGATAAAGGAATACATTCGGGTACCATGAAAAAAACAGTAAGACAACTCCTGGTGGTAGAGCATTCTACGAGTTGACTGAACTTAATACCTGAAAAAGTCAATGGCATGTGATGGAGAAGTTTGTTTCACCAAGTTGACACCTTTTCCTGTATCTACTAAAGGCTGACCCTGAATTTCATGCCCGATGTCAGATGTTACAGTAAACACGGGAGCATAGTGTGCGATGCAATGTTTAGTGATGCATAACTCTCAACATTTCTGATGATTGTAAACTATTTTCACATACATCTACTTCTGAATGCTTCAAAGACATTCACCTATTATCTTCTATGATATTTTAATAAAAGTAAAGATGAAAAACTAAAAGAAAGATTTGAAACATCTTTAATCATTGTAATGTTTTAAAGCAAATTTGAAATTATTTTCAACAAGTTAATAAATTTAAAATAATGTTCATTTCTTATTTACCATTTACCCATATTACCTACAAATTTAAACTAATTTGATTACTCTTAAGTTTAAAATAATTTTTGGTTCGTATTTACTCTTTACAGGAATGTACTCTGTAACCTTCACCTTCAGAATCATAAATATTGTTGTTTTAACAAGTGCTTTACTCGTCTCTTTTCTTCTTCTTCTTCAAAACAAAACAAAAACAGAAAAAACCTTTCTAAGTTTACATTGGGGAAATATTTTAGGAACGACTGCAGAAAAACACCCTAATATCTCTCTTTTTATATACTTTTTACATGCATGCCTGTGATTTGCTGATATTATATTCTGTGATGAAAGAAAGAAAGAAAAAAATAAATAGTAACCTTTAGAGATAAAGAAAGAAACCTTCAGGGAGGGGAAATAAGTATGGAATGATTAAGGCATTTAAAGCAAATTTTAAGAGTCATCCAACAGCATTTTAAAATTTTACCTATTTAAAAAAATAACCTTAGTAAAACAAATGGTAGAAAATATTTACAGTAAAAATGCTCAAATAAAACATAAGTATAATAAGCAGTAAATGGAAAACATCAACATTATGTGAATTTCTTATAACTAGTTCTGTTGAAACATATAAAAACTGTTTAGAAAGCAAACACCTCTTGTTCTAAAAATCATAACTTTGAGGAAATAACCAAATGTTCAATGTTTGAAAATATTTTTTCAATATTTTCACAGCTGTAGTTGTATCAATTTGTGGAGATATTTATTTGAGAGAAGAATTTAGGAAACACAGAAATTAAATATTATAATTTTGGAAAATGTCCAGAATTAAACAACTTTATTTATTCATAATATAAAACTCTTTCAAAGTACTTTGAAATTCATGCATTTCATATAGATGTTTAAATTATAGCTTTCCCTTCAAATTGCAATCTTCTAGAGGCTACTCATTTTGTCTGACTTAATTCAAGTGTTCAGGAGACATCTGTAATATCTACATATTCAATTAAGAGATAATAATGATGGTTGCAAATCAACATTTACTGAACTATGCTGATGTGTTAAGGGAATTTGTGTCTTGAAAGGGAAATGTTGAATCCCAGGAATTGCACTCTTTAGAAATGTTATTTATAAGGTTATAAACCCCCTTGTTCATATATCGCATTAGAATACAGCATTAAACATCAGATTGTGGGACCTTGATGCCTTTGATTAGACTTAATTATATTTGGCTTCAGGAGCTTTGATCTGGCCATGTTTTCACCTAAATTTTTGTGATAAATTTGTCTTCCCTCATATATTATTTTTTCCTGGAGGAAAGCAGTCTTGAATGGTAGGGACATTATGGGTTTTGAAATAAGAAGACGAGCATTTGAATCCTGCTTTTGCATTCACTTATTAGGTGCTCTTGGCTAAGTTATTGTCATTTTTTGGATATTAAGTTTTCCCTTCTGAGAAATAATAAGCTAAATAATACCTTTTATTTATTTATTTATTTATTTTATTTTATTTTTTTTTTTTTTTTTGAGACGGAGTCTCGCTCTGTCGCCCAGGCCGGACTGCGGACTGCAGTGGCGCAATCTCGGCTCACTGCAAGCTCCGCTTCCCGGGTTCACGCCATTCTCCTGCCTCAGCCTCCCGAGTAGCTGGGACTACAGGCGCCCGCCACCGCGCCCAGCTAATTTTTTATATTTTTAGTAGAGACGGGGTTTCACCTTGTTAGCCAGGATGGTCTCGATCTCCTGACCTCATGATCCACCCGCCTCGGCCTCCCAAAGTGCTGGGATTACAGGCGTGAGCCACCGCGCCCGGCCAATAATACCTTTTAAATTCAAAAGAAATTATTTCAAGACGTTCTAGAACATATTAAAGAAAAAAATTCAATTAAATTATTGATATTAAAGCATAGATTTTGCAATGTGATATAGTATCAACATGAGGATTTATCTTTTCTTCATTTCAAAAAATATATGACTTTTGTAAACATATATGCATGTTTCAATTTAAAAAAAAGAATATACATGATTTAATCATGCCAGGTACCAAAAAGGAAAGAGTAGAATGTTAATATTTACCTTTCAGGATAATTGTTAGTTATTCTGCCTATTAAAGAAAGATTATAATGGGATATAATAGGTATTCAACAATAACCTCTCTAATGAACTAACAAGTGCAGTCATGCTTAATGTTAGGAATACATTCTGAGACAAGCATTTTGTTGTGTAGACATCATAGAGTGTACTTACAGAAATCTAGATGGCATGTCCTACCATATACCTAGGTTTTAAGTCTATTGCTCATAGGCTACAAACTTATACAGCATGTTATTGTATTGAAGACTGTAGGCAATCATAATATAATGATAAGTATTTGTGTATTTAAAAATATCAAAACAGAAAAGGTACAGTACAAAATGTGGTATAAAATGTTTTTAAATGCTACATTTGATAGGGCACTTAGCGAAATGGGGCTTTCAGGACAGGATGTTGCTCTGGGTGAGATAGTGAGTAAGTGGTGAGTGAATGTGAAGGCTTAAGACATTCTTGTACATTACTGTAGACTTGATCAACACTGTACATTGAGGCTACACTAATTTTATTTTTTAAATTTTCTATCTTTAAAAATAAATTAGCCTTAGGTTACTGTAAAATTTTTATACATTTCTAATTTTTTAAAATTTTGGACTCTTTTGTAATAACACATTGCTTGAAATAAACTGTACAAACTATTTTCTTTCTTTATATCCTTATTTTATAAGCTTTTTTCAATTTTTCATTTTTTAAAAGTAACCTTTTTATTTTTTAAGCTTTTTTGTTATAAACCAAGGCAAAAACACACACATTAGCCTAGGCATACACAGGGTCAGGATCATCAGTGTCATTGTCTGTCACCTCTGCGTCTTGTCCCACTGGAAGGTCTTCAAGGGCAATAACATTCATAGAGCTGTCATCTCCTATGATAACAATGCCTTCTTCCGGAATACTTCCTGAAGGACTTGCCTGAGGCTGTTCTACAGCTAAGTCTTTTTTATAAGTAGAAGGAGTACAATCTACAATAATGATAAAAATTGTAGTAAATACATAAGCTGGTAACATAGCCTTGTATTATCATTGTCAAGTATTATGTACTATACTTTTAAACAACTGGCAGCACAGTAGGTTTCTTACACCAGCATCACCAGAAACATATGAGTAATGTATTGTTCTATATGACAATGTTATGACGGCTGCAACACTACGGAGCAATAGGACTTTTTTATCTCCATTATACTCTTAAGGGACATGACCGGTATACACAGTCCATCATTGGCTGAAATATCATTATACTGTGCATGGCTGTACATATATTTTTAACTCAGAGTTTTTTTCTAGATTTAAATCCAAATAACTATCATACATTACAAATACATAAATTAGTGTATATATTATTTGTTAAATTGTATGCACTAAATTTTTTTATGTCCTAAAATAAATTACCCATGATATAACAAATTAGTTCATTATTACACTAATGTTACAAGATAAAGGCAGCTCTAGAATAGTAAAAAGGAAATACTTAATTCAAAGATTTTTTCTTTTAGTTGTAATATTTGAACATGCAAAATGTTGAAAAGATTAAAGAAAACACTTCCTTAAAAATTTCTATAGTGTGCAACAATCTTCGAAATACCATCGGAGGTATAAGACTTTAAAAATCACTGTACTTCTTCGAGATTACTGTGACTAGTTTTTTGAACATATTCACTTAATTCTGTAAGAGTATTTTTTACCCACTTAGAAATAATTTTACCATGTGGAATTGTGGAGGCAGTGTGACATAGTAGAATGTGTCAAAAATTTGGAAAAAGAAGATCTAGGTTCTATTCCTGTATATGCCGCTTATGTGTGTGTTCTCAGAAAATTTTTTGTGCATCAGGCATGATGTGATCCTTACCATTTTCATGAGATTGTATTTTTTAAAACAAGAAGAAATATAGCAATGGAGGTTTAGAATAAGCTATAAAGGAGAGACCTTAAGAAGTATCCACTAATCCCTTTCATTTTGTCAACTAGCATTCATTTAAGCCTTTAATATGTGACGAGTACTATGCTAAGTATTTCTCATGGATCAAATAATTTGGTTTAACAGCACTCCCATCACATAGGAACTGCTACAATTTCTATTTTACAGATCTGGAAACATGGGCCACAAGCCATTAGAATGAATTGTTAAATACATGTATGCACATATACACATTTAAAAAAAATTAATTTTCTGTTTGAAAATTGAATGTATAAATACAAAGTAGCTATGGAATTTTAAAGTTTGCTATGTAGTTTCTGTCAAGAAATCTACCTTTGTCTTATCAGAAAGTCAGCAACTTGAAATTAGAAATTTGCATCTAAAATGATTGATCTATCACATAAAAGAGTCAAGTACACATTGATAATATACATGCACACACATATATATGTAAAATTGCATTATTCACAAGGACATAAATTCTTCAGAGGCCCATATTGTAATTATTTTTAGGAAACAATGATTTGAAAAAATGGCAAGCATGTGTAACTGCACTAACTCAACTTTGATTTGACAGAAATTGTAGAGCCTTTTTGACATACCTTGTTACACAGGTATTATTTCTTCTTGGGGCACTATGTAAAAGTTCATATAAATTAGAACCAGCAATTAGGTTCAATTATATATACTTCTTTTACAAGGAGGTACAAAAAGAAAATAAGCTCAAAAATATTTAAAATTAAAAAATATGTCCCTAGGCAATGTCTTCAGTTCAGTAGATACTTCAGTCCACTAATATCATAAAATATACACCTATATGAAGCAAGAAAACCTTGAAATTCACGTTTGAAATTCTTCTAATATACTAAGTAAAATATTCTCTTTATAAGCAACTTAATCTGTGGAAGAGTAGTAGCATATGTTTAATACCTCATTGAAAATAGCTGAGTTTATACCTAGTTACTTCATTTTACGTTCCTCTTCTCTACTACCTTTCTGACATCTCATCTACATTCTTGTCCATGTGCCAAAAAAGGCCCTATGAGCAGTCGCAAGCAAGGAAGATTTACCTCTCACCTAAAGAGCTCTGGAATTTGGATTTTACAAGTTTTTTATATTTGTATTATTCCAAAACTCCGATCATACGCTTCCACAGATGTTTCCTTGGGGGTTCATATTTTATTAAAATTTCCCTCATTTTTTGTCAAATAGGCAGAATTGACACTATTGCAACCATTATTAACTGCTTCGTCATACTCTCACTGGTGAAGGTCCTTGTTTGTTATATTATACAAAATTGAATTTAAATACATTTGAAAATATTTCCACTTTTTGGCCTAATTTTTAAAAATCTTTCTTTGAAAGGAATATTTTATTTGTTACTTTTATGGAAATTTATTCTCCTCCCATCCTTTTTTATGGAAAGTTATTCTCTGCATACAGTGATTGGTTCCATGGAAGTTGCGACTATGATATTCTATGAAAAACAGGATTACATGTATTAGTGGCTCTTAACTATGACTGCATATTGAAACAATGTTTGAATTTTAAGAAAACTGATGCCCTTGTCCTACCTTTAAAAATTCAGATCTAATTGGTTTGTGAGGGGCCTGGACATTAGTATTGTTTTAACATGTCCCTAGTGCATCTAATATGTAAAATTGAGCACCATTGACATATTCATGGACAACTTAATATGGTTCAGTCTAATAGATCATCTTTTTTTCTTCTCAAAACCACTATAGTTCATACTTTTCCAATATAAGCATTATCATCTCCAGCAAGCTAGACTTGCTAAAGCAGGAAAGTAACAATCATATGGGAGAATATTACAGAACATTAAAGTTATAAATCTGGAAACAAAGTTTATCTTGTTTCCAGCTTTAAAACAAACAAATAAGAAATCACTCACAAAAAATTAAGTAATGGCAACACTCAGCCACAAATATTACTCAGTAATAAACATGATGATTAATCATGGTTTAATTCTCAAAAGAAGCTCAGTACACTGCTTTTATTGGCAATGCTCTTTGCTTTGGAACTTTCCATAGTTGTTGTCAATAGACTTCACAAATAGTACGTGTACTTGACGATACTATGCAGGTTTCCCAAGGTTCTATACTAGGTTTTCTAAGCATCGTGATATGAATTAAAATAAACTTTTAATAAAAATAATACTCAAGTTATTTTATTTTCGATTTTAGATAAAATCTATTCTGTTAATTTAATAGAATAAAATCTATTCTATTAGATTTTATTGAAAATGGTATAATAGTCATATTAAATTTCCAGACAACATATTGTATTTTCAAAACATAATTTCAAGTCTACCTTCTATAAAGAAAAGTTTTGTTTCTACTGGGACTCTAAATAAATTAATAGTGAAGTTGGGCTTGTCATAGGCACTGAAAAATTTCCAAAATACCCACAAAAGTGCACCACAATGAGAATAATGAAATCAAGACATTTACCTCATGGGAATCTCCAAATGGGTTGCTGTCATGAGCATCCTCTAAATTTAGCTCTTTATAATTTCTACATTTATAGCTGAAATTACAAACCATATGGTGCTGAAAAGAATTAGCTATATATTAAAGAAGCAGCCAGAAAACTTTGTTTATTTCAGCCAACAAAAGGCTCTTCCCTAAATTATCTGGTCACAAAACAGCTCTCGACGCATTATTCTGACTCTGATATTATTGCTTATTTTGCCTAATTTATTTAAGAAGTTGTTTTAGTCTGTTTTCACACTGCTGATAATGACATACCCAAGACTGGGCAATTTACAAAGGAAAGAGGTCTAATGGAGAACTCACAGTTCCACATGGCTGGGGAAACCTTCACAATCATGGCAGAAGGCAAGGAGGAGCAAGTCACATCTTATGTGAATGACAGCAGGCAAAGAGAGAGCTAGTGTAGGGAAACTCTCATTTTTAAAACCATTAGATTTCATGAGATTCATTCACTATCATGAGAACAGCAAGGGAAAGACCCGCCCCTGTGATTCAATCATCTCCCACCAGGCCCCTCCCACCACACATGAGAATCATGGGAGCTACAAGATGAGATTTGGGTGGGACACAGAGCCAAACTACATCAGAAGCCATTTAAGTATTGTAGAGGAAAAGCAAAGCATAGCAAAATAAAAAGTATAACATAAATTATCAAGTCTGAACTAAAGGACTAAGCTCCAGTAAATTTGTTGGTATTTGGAAAATATTTTCTAAAAACCTAGAAATTGTCATGAGATTGAAATATTACCAGTATCATCTGTTGAGATTTAAATTTAAATTTAAACAGCATTTGGCAAAAGTATATACTTGGTAAATATTGATTGTTCCAAAGCCTCATTTTGTTTTTACTTTTAAAAAACAATATTGGTAAGAAAATATATTAAATTTTTTAAAATACACTAAAATTTAAATGATTCTTAGACTTCTATTGTTTAAAATGTTTACACAACCAGGTGTACACATTTAATATTAAGTAAGTAGCTGTTTCAATGAAAAATTAATTCGTGGGAGAAATTAACTGTCTTGTTAACTTTCTCCTTTTCTTCTGATTTCTCTTATCTATATTTTCAGATAAGTTCACTTGCTGGCTCAACTGAACAGACATTTGTCTCAACTATAGATGTCCCTACAGCCTAGATTTTCTGTTTTCAAATTGGTGAAAGATTTATTTCAATACATGAATGTTATTTCAACCTTAGCATGCTATAATCCATGGAATAAGAGTATCAATAGAGTTTCAATTACATACAGTGTATTTGTTTTCAACAGCCATTTATTAAGCTCTTCTATAGTATCTATAATATCTATGAAGATACTATACCCCACAGTATCTTCAGCACTTAGGACAGCAGCTGTCCTGGACAAGATGAAGAAGACTTGGAGAGAGTGGGAGATAGTTCAGGTAGAGTTTTCAGAAATGCTTCTCTGAAGAGATGATGTTTGAGGTGAGACATCAAATGAAAAGACTGAGCCAGTCCGAAGAGAAGAGTGGTCACTACCCAAAGAACAGGGAAAACAAAAGTCCCCATGGTAGGCATATATGTGATGAGTTTGATGTTTTTGAGGAATAAAAAAGGGATCAAATTGATAAGAACTTTTTATTTTAATCCAGGTACAAGTTGTAAGAAATATAGCCAGAGAAATAGAAAGTGCCTAGATATGTCTTATAGCCGTAGGAAGGTTTTCTTTCTTTTTTTTTTCTAATTGTAATACAAAGCTATTAGAGGGTTTTAGGCAGGAGATCTGGTTGATATTTTAATAGATCTCTCTGACTGCTCTGTGGAGAGGGAGTTATATAGAGAAATGTGATTAAAGGTGAAAACCTAATTGGCATTTTGAGATTTCAAGAGGTGAATGCTTAATTTTCTTTCTTAGTAAATCTAGTTTTAATGCCACACACACTGTGCCAACTGAGTTATTCTAAAGTAATTCTTGATACAAATTTTACATTTTCTCCTAATGTAGAGCTTTTCAAAGTATGATCTTGGGACTGTATAAGAATTATTCGCTTCATTAGTTAAAAATGCAGATTCTTTGACTTCATCTCATTCCTTCTGAATTAGTGTCTGGGGATGGAACCTGAGGATATACATTTTTTTAATGATCTACTCACATGATTTTATATACCTGAATATTTGAGAATTGTTATCCTGAGAAGCAGTTGTTTCTACACTATACAGATGGCAGTATTGCCAGGTAATGTTTCCCACAGAAAGAGATCTTTGAACTGAGTCTTGAATGAGAAGTCACTGTGTGCCAGTTGTAAGAGAACAGGGGAAGTCATTCCTGTGCAACAAGATACATGATTAAAGATTGTCAGGTATAAGTCGGAATGGAAATTCACCATGATGAGATCTCAGGATACTGGGAAAACAGACCTGGGGTGAGATAAAAAAAGATCAAACCAGAGAACATTTGAATCCCACAAATTTATAAATTAATATAGAGTGGCAAAAAGCATGGTCTTAGATTCTCACAGCCAACATACCTATAAATAATAGAGGATAAAATGTTACAGAACATATGTGTTGCAAATGTCTAAAATGGATCAAAAATATTACACCTGTTTTACTACCATTCAATATTGACATCACAGATAATGAAGTCAACTCTATACAGAGACCAGATAAAAGATAAAATTCTACAAAAAGAAACACTTAATGAGCATTTGACATGAATTAACTCATTTAAATTTCTTAACAACCATATGAAGTAGATACTTTTATTTTCTCATTTTATACATGAAAAAATTGAGAAGTTTAAGAAAACAGAGTAGTTTAACCAATCTGCTCATTTCTAGTCAATTTTGTTAAGCAATTGTCTGGCCCACTGTGGGCCTATTGTGTATACATAAAGTGGCAAACTTTGTTTTATCTAGACCTTGGCTGACTTATGGGTAACTTCTGTCTAAAAGATTACCTTGAGAAAGTTGCTTTATTCTCCTTGTGTCTAAAGAAACTTTATTGTAAAATATCAACTTCATAGTTCTATTGTGAAGACTAAATAATAGTATACATGCAAGCCATCTAATACAATGGCTGACATCTTGGAGGCCATCAAAAATCACCACTGCTTTTATCTCCCTTCTCCCTTGCAAGCTACTTTCAATTAAATATATATAACCAGTTTGTAACAATTTCTATCAATTCATCTATAAACTTTAACCAATGCAAACATTGTTCTCAGTATTATTGATTAGATATCTCTGTGTGTGTGTGTGCATGCATGCTATATCCGTATCATCAGGTTTTGCCAGGTTTTAATCCCTATTGCATGACTTTACTATCTATTTATTTTAGTAGGCTTCGTCCTCCATTTTGTTGACAAAATTAGTGTTCTGTTTCTGAAGTAGAAATGTTTCTAATTTAAGCACTGAGTTACAATTCAATTTTCGTATGCTTTGTAATATCAATAAAGTGCTGTCCACAAGATATTCCAAAATACTTTAAAATATTACTTAAAAACATATATATATATGACCATATATAATAGCTGTGTCTATAATATGCTGTCTGAGGTTCACAGAGATTACCATTACATGAAAGCGGGTTAACTATTGTATGCACAAAAATGATTTTAACATCATATTTCTGTCTGAAATAAAGCAAAATCTAATTTTGCTAATATACTCCTTTCACTATATTTTGATAATAGTTAATGTAATGTCATGCTACATTAAGACACTAGAACAATTCTAGACTATTAAACATATACCACCTCAATAACTTTTAATTTTAAGAATATTAAAGAAAAACGATAAGAGTCAAAGAAACAAAAAAATTGGAGATATATTTTAAAGAACAATATAGATTCATTTAAGATATTCCCATGTAATCACCATTTGAGCCTTTACTATTTCTTGCTATAGGATACCTGTATGAGTATAGTGTATAAATATTTATACAGGTAAATCTTATAGCAAGCAAATTATATATATATATATGTGTATATATACACATATACATATGTGTGTGTATATATGTATATATGCGTATATATGTATATAAATGTATATATGTGTATATATGTATATATATGTGTGTGTATATATGTATATATATGTGTGTGTATATATATGTGTATATATATGTGTGTATATATATATATGTATATGGGAGAGGGGGTGAGAAAATGAGAGACTATAAAAATCCCTCCATATTAAAGATATATATGATCTGTAAATAAAACCTGGAGCAGAGTATTAGGAGTTAAGATGCTGAGATTTTAGATAGATTGCAGAAGTGAAATAGATGCCACTATATTTTTTGTTTAGCAGTAAAGTAGAAATAAAAAGAATATAAAATTCTTGGGTTTGATTGATATACCAACATGATGACTAAACAGAGCTGCAAGTAACAGCCGTAAATAACATCAGGTACTCCTAAAGCAGAGGCACCTTCTGCAAAGGCAGAATTATTATGTAATTATATCTACTTTTCCAAGTTACAAACTATTCCCTGGCAGGGATCCACTTCTTCATTCATTACGATTCAGTATAATTTGAGCTGCTAAGGTAAAGTGTCTCCCAGTAGGAGGCTGCAAATGAATCCTGTTGATGCTTTTATTACTACCGATTCATACTGTTCGGCCCAACACTCAAACAACTCCAGCACTTGGGGAAGTGTTTGCAAGTGGTTCATTTTGAAATAGAGCAAAGAACCTCATCAGGATGTGGAAATCCGAGGAATTCAGTAAGAGTCATACCAACATGCTATCAGTTTGCTATCAGCTTGCTCTACCTGGACCAGATTTGATTGCTCGCAGTTGTCCAATTCTCTACCTTGTATCTTCAATAAAAACTTTAAAACTCATTTGCAACCAAAATAAGAAATGAGCTTTTGGAGGGCTCACATTGTCTTTGGTGTATATTTTTACCTTCTTTGGAGTTTTTATTTGTTTTGTTTTGTCATTGGATTTTTATCTCTTCCTCTTTCTTGTGCATCAAATTTAAAGCAATAGAATGTTAGACTTTGAGTGAATGAAAGAGCCATAGTTATCTTTGTTTGAGCACCCCGGGTTCTCATATGCTGTAATTATATAGTTGGTCATTTCTTAGTCTCTGGATACAGAATACTCAGGTGGCTAATCCATTTTGATTCAAACTGTCTTTTCAAATTTCCTTATATAAATATCTAACATTCACTAAAGAATGTATCACTTTTACATACCTAAAGATATTTTCTCTGTGCATGTATATATATGAATATTCATATTTACCCAAATGTATACATGGATGTGTACATATCTACACACACAATCAGAGTCTTATAAGGAAAACAATCAGGACCCATTCCAAGTTAGTGGTCTTAATGTGCATCTCTGCAGGGAAGGTGAAATATTCTCTGAAAGAAAGCAGAAAGAATTACAAAGCCAGAGTCGGGAAACTCACTTCACTGTTCCTGAATTGTATTCAGTAAAAGGAAGGTCGTTTTAACAACCTCCAGAATGTTGACTGTAAGTATCAGACACAAGGTTTCCAAACAATCACAAAATAGTGAAGGAATTTTTAAAAAAAAAATTTAATGAAAGTTTACTTCATTGTTACTATTCTAAAGAGCTATGCAGACATTTTTTGGAGCCTCTTACTAATGCTAATGAAAGCAATTTAACTAAAATTCCTACACACTGTTCAAAGAAAACTTCTCCAGCTTGATTTTGTAGTCTCTGCAAACTATTTGAAGGACCAGAGCCTTTAAGTATGACGGTTAAGTATTCATCCACAGTAATGGGTTTCAGTTCTCCCCTCATTGATTGAAGCCAAGCTATGCACTGATTTACTATGCCAGCAGGACATTTCGACTTCTCTTTCATGTTTATCTAACAGCCTTTTAGAAAAGAAAGGGGGGAAAATGTGGGATCATTAACAATAGAATCCACAATACTGAAAGAGTTGGAAAAAATAAGAATATTCATAGTAATAATTACATTTGCTGCAATTTACAGATTTTTGAGTTAATAATTGCTATTTTTCAATTACATGAGAAATCTCTTTGCTGTCAACAGTAACTGACAAAGTAATTGCTGTTTTGTTGATAATATTTTTAGGATATCAGGTATAATTATAAAAATATATTAAAATTAAATAATGGCATATAAATATCCACCTAGAAATAGCATCAGTTACTTTCCAAGTGTGAGAAGACATAACTCAGTCATAGATGCCTTTTTTTTGAGAAAAAGAAAGATAATTACCCTTCATGGGTGAGACATTTGATTTATTCCACTGAGATTCATTTCATTTCATTGTAAATTAAACTGTTTAATTCAACATTTTCAATACTACCTGCTACTGAAGGGACTTCAGTGATGACTAAGAACAAGTTGATAGATAAGCTATATTCATATTAAATAGGATGTTTGTAATTATTGAGCTGTCACTTTTATATCATTTAATCATTTCCCTTTCTTACGACCTTTCAATTTAACTAGAAAGCACACTGCAATTTCAAATCTCCAAAGAATACAGTGTATAAAATAATACTTCATTATTCAGTTTTTGTTCCAAATCTATTATCAGTAAATTACTAATTTCTAAGTGCCTGTTAAAAATCTGAAAAATATTAATTCTTACTAAAACAGAATAATATGCATACACTTAAAATTATCAACTTGCCTTACGATTTTAAAATACTTACATAATTTCAAACAATATTGCTTTATACATGATTTTCCAAAATTAACGACAATCAAGTTTGGTACATATAAAAACAGGGTCAAGATATCGCTCAGTTTGTAGTGTTTTAAACATAAGTATTGACAGCAATACATACAAATAGTTTTAAAATCAATGCTTTATTTTTAATTAGAGAAAAGCAGGGAGAAACTTTATTTTGATATGTATCACAGTACGAAACTACATTATATACAGCCTCTATACCCTAGCATAGAACAAAAATTTATTACTCATGTGAAGTTAAAGTTCATTATAGGCACCTTCCCCAATCCCTAAATTGTCTTCATTTTCACTCTCTTTTGAACATTGCCAATCAATATTATGTATAGTAATATATTTTCAGAAGAGTGACATCCTCGCTGAGGTGTGCATTTAAACTGCTCACTTACACAAGTTGAAAGAGTGCATAAGTACTTTTTTCAATAAATCTACACTATGATGGAATGCAATAGAAACAAATCATTCCTTTGAATAAAACTATTTATTGTAAAGGTGACTGTTTAATATTTATTTACCTAATAGCATGCATCCTTACAGATTTGGTTTAAGATAACTTTTCTTTTTTTCTTTTTTCACTAAAAACCATGGATAAGATAGCCTTTAAAAACATACGTAGTAGAAGGTATTTTAAATGGCAAAACACAAATAAATGTTTAATATAATACTAGAGGAAATAATATGCAAAAAGTTAATACTAAATTCTTGCAAAATTATTTAAGTTAGACTAAGAATTTGGGTCTGAGTTTTCAGTTAGCCAAAAATTTAAAAAGATGTATGATACATCATCATCATCATCAAAAGCTATTCATTAGCACTTTCACAGGTCACAGGGGTAGTATTAGCTATCTTACATGGTCAGTGTTTTCTCATTATTTATCCTTCAGATAAATTTTGTGAGGAGAGTAATTTGTCTGTTTTATAGATGAGGAACCGAAGCTTAGTTAGGTTAGAAAGTTGTCCAAGATAGAGATGGTATTTGAACCCACATCTATCTCTCATGAGACTCAATCATCTTGCCTTCAATCTACTATATGGACTTAAAATGAATTAAATCTCCATGATCTGCTGATGTATCAAAACTTCTCATGTACCCTATAAATATATACACCTACTAAATACCCACAAAAAACTTAAAAATTATTAAATAATCAAAAAATAAAGTAAATATCATTCATAAGACAGAAGCATTTTTCCAGGTGATCTTCAAAGCTGGGAATAATGTGAATGAAGTAGGAGACTACACCTTCTAAAAATTCCTAAAATAAATGTAAAGACTAGCTTGTATGATCTATTTTCGATGTGTTCCTCCAAACAAGGCAGGGGTATAAAAATGAGTTTCTGTGATTCCAGCACTTTGGGAGGTCAAGGCGGGTGGATGACGAGGTCAGGAGTTTGAGACCAACCTGACCAACATGGTGAAACCCCACTTCTACCAAAAATACAAAAATTAGCCGGGTGTGGTGGTGTGCACCTGTAATCTCAACTACTCAGGAGGCTGAGGCAGGATAATTGCTTGAACCTGGGAGGTGGAGGTTGCAGTGAGCCAAGATTGCACCACTGCACTCCAGCCTGGATGACAGAGCGGGACTCCATCTCAAAAAAAATTAAAAAAGAGTTTCTATAAAAGCATTTTGAGTGGAGCCAAAACTTTATGTACCAGGTGAACAACTGTCAAATAGTCTGGCTAGATATTATGTTAACACTAAGAATCTGAATTTTTAAAAATAACTGAGCTATTGACCAAAAAATGTCAAAAAGAGGAAAGTAACTTCTCAGTTAAATTACCATGAATATCTGTTACAAAATGATTCTCTATATGGTTATATGAATTAATTAGCCTACTGTTTAATGTTTTTAAATATGCCAATTAAATATTTTAAAATTACTCAAAATATGAATATTTTATTTTAAAGTATTTGGCCTTAAGACAACATTTCTGACAATCATCAATTACTCATTTAAAACCACTCTTGTAAGTAGCAAGGAAAACCAGTATCAAAATAAAGCAATATCCTTAACATTTTTTTTCTCATAGAGATTTCTAAATGATCCACAATAATTCCATAATTACTTGTCTTGGAATAAAAAATGATTCTACAATGAAATTTTCAACTATTAGATCTCTAAACTATTCATAAAATAAAATATTCTTGAAATAGCTGTTTAAAAGATAACTATTAATGGAAATGTCATCTCACAAATTAAATTTACTCAGCGACCAATGCTATTTGAATTAACATTTGGGTTTATATATCAAACTTCTCTATAGTTTAAGGAAAGACAGAAGTTTCTATAAAACAAGAAACTCGACATAAGAGGAATGTGGTGTATCTCCAATTATAACACTTGCTCTCTGATTCTCTGCTGTCCTATCTCAGCTAAGTACCCTTTGTTCACTCTCAGCCTGGGATCTCACACTTACGTTGTTTGCCTCCATCATTACATTTGGGCTCCTACAATCTGCATCTTTTATACCTGGAAAGAGAAAACTAACTAGTATTGCTGCTGACCCTTATGGTTCAAAATGACACCTTTTATTAAATAAAACGAATCAAGAATCTCTAGTAAACGTATTTAAAGTGAAAATTCATATAACGTATAATCAAAATGGTTTAACCCTATACATTTGAAAAGGCACATACCTTCAATATAAACAAGGTGATTATCAAATGCCATGAGATTAATACCATCTAGAAATTTAGAAAATGAGTAATGATGCTAAAAGTTGAGGAAGAAAGTCGTATGTAGCTAACGTGTGCACTGAAAATAAATAGAATGCCTTGAAACTAGTGGTGTTAAGTGACATTTTGTCCACAGCTCTTCCTTCAGTTCCAGCCCATGTTATGGCTTCTTTGTCCTTGGAGTATACCTTACTGGCCCACTGATTCTTATCAGTGGGCTTAAGCTTATCAGAAAGCTTAAATGTGCTTACATAATTTGCCTTGGCCTCTCCCACTTCTGATACTCACCTATTGAAAGAGCTTGCTCCCAAGAATGAGATACATGTGGACAAACATGATCCCAAACCATAGCCTAAAGCCCATCCCATTTGAGTACAGAAAACAAAACAAAACAAAAAAAATTTGCAGACACTTCATGAGAAAAGAATGTGTGTTGTTACAGATTTGGCATTGTTTATTACATATTACTGGTGAAATAGCTAACCAACAGTGGCTACAAATAAGTTGAAATTCTTAAAACGCAGTGCATAGGGGTAGCGGGGCTGGGATATTCTGATTAAATTAACCATGATAAGTATGCAAGTTTGATTATTGAAAAGTAATAAAGTCCATAGTTTCAGGCCAAAAGTTGTTAAAGGGGAAAAGATGGTTAAGAAAAGTCTTCAGAAGAAGAATCAACTATGAGGATCTGCTAAAAGATCTTGTAGAAAATTCCATATGTTAATTTTGTGTAGAGTGAATGAAAAGGAGGCAAGAGGAAACAGACACATGATACAAGCAAATCTAAATGAACTAAACTATTATCACAAGTTCATTAACAGCAATGGATTCTTCTCACATCCTATTCTTAGAATGTGTCTTAGATTTACAGCATTTTTTAGTTTGGATATTCAGTTTGAAAGATAAATTTGAAAAATTAGTGTAGTGTAGAAAACAGGATTAGAATTTTAAGTGGAATTTTATATTTCATGAGGAAACACTAGATAGAAGCTTTGTATTTAAAGACAGAATAATATTGTCTTGCTGACATATTAAGCTATAGCTATGCCTCTCTCCCTTCCAGAAAAAAAACAAATCCCCAAATCACCATTTATGGTGGTGGTGAAGGCATCTATCTGTACAATGTATTTGTAAGAATCTATAGTTTCCATCCATATGTAACCTAATGAAAATAGACTATCCACATAAGGTAAGCAATTGTTTGCATTTTTAATATTCTAAGCTTACAGTTTTTGTGTATACACATTTTCATCTGCCAATTTTAAAATTAAATATATACTTTTATTTTGTAAAACTGAACTAACCCTTCGAGAAATCCTAAGCAATGGAATTCAAGCGGGGAATTATTTTATGCTCTTGTTGTGTAGTGTTTACTCACTTTTCACCTTGTCATCTACAAAACGTGAAAATGCCGAGATAGGCACTGCACATCAGTCTGACAACTTGTCATCATGCTCAGACCAGAGCTGGGTTTGTGACTGCTTGATGTGTCAAAAGAGTTGTGCTGGATTAAAACAAAATCTGAAAACCGTGTGTTCATTATCCAAATCACAGAATTTTCTCAGATTTCCAAGGAAAAGAAAAACAAAGAGTTGAAGCAGTAGCATTCACTAGAAATGAGCTTCCATTCAGAATAAACTTGAGTCTCTTTTATTACTGGTTTTCACTGTTAAAAAACAGAGCAGAGTAATCGCATTGAACTAAGAAAGGATGTATAAAGACATAATTACATTTCAAGTATAAATTATTTTCTATTATATGTACTAGGCAAAATAAATCTAATAAGAATTTAATTCAAATTTTCAAAGTTAGTTATTGCTTTTAGCAGATAGAATACTTATAAATTGCTAACATAGGAATATGACGTGTCTGTAGAATTATTCTTTATTTTCTTAAAAATGTTTCTTTCATTAACAGATATTATTGTCTTTTATTTAAAAAACAACTCAGGAAATTTGAAAGCAGCTTCTATACACTGGTTTATATAACATCTCTAAAGCAAAATTAATTATCTTATGGTTATGTTGCTTTTTTAATACCTAATGTTAAGACATAGTTTCTGATCATCTGGAAAATACTAGTTATATATTCAGTTTCATTACAGTGTAACTAGAAAATAATTGTGCGTCTTTGTTAGAACAGAGGTCATTTTCTTGCATTGGTATATGACTATACTTCCATTGTAAGGGGATGCCTCCCATTATTGAAGAATATTACCTTAAAAAATTATTGAGCTTTATTTTCTGTTTAAACAAATAACAATAATAAAGGACAACTTAATTAAAAGTGGAAGTCTTAAGGAACTGGATTTCACCTCAAAATAACTTTTTAACAACAAGAACTAATTCCAAAAAAATTGACTGTCATATAAAGTGGTATTATTTCAAGTTTTAGAGATACTTGGTTAAAGTTAGAGACTATTCCAACAGTGCTGTCACAGAAAAACATGGCAGCATTGGGAAGAGGTAGGACTAGACAAATTGTATGATCTTCAGAATTTTTAATTCTGATAGACCTCAGGACTATTGCTTTGTGTCACATATCAGATAATTTCAAATAATTGTTTAAAAGATGTTTTAAGGATTGCACATATGTCTACAATCAAAATTTATTTTAGAAACATTTTGTGTTTGATGATTTTTTAAAAATACTGTCTGTAACTAAGACAATGAACTATTACTAGCAAAATAAAGAATCAGTATTTACAATTTCCATTTTATAATGGAAATTCACTAACTTACAGTTATGTTGCTTTTTACGTTCCATTTTATAATGGAAATTATGGAGGTTGCTTAAAAATTTTTCATAAATTTTAAGTTGTTTTATTTAGAACAATTCCAACATTGGATCTATGTACCTATCATCTTTATACGTAAGTGTATATTTGTGTGTATGTGTGTTTATTGGTTGCTCTAAGAATTTTATATAAAATACTATTATTTTATACTAAATTTTATAATGCACATTTCCACAGTGAAATATAAGCCAAATAATGAAGCTGTTTTATTTGATTAAATTGACTATTTTAGGTTCTGTGTTTTAAACAGTAAATGACAAAGATAATTCTAAGTGTTCATTCTAATATCATCTCATTAGCTTTAATTCCTTTCCATGTGAATATGTCACTCTGGTACCCAAGGACTTGACCAAAGAGAGAATATTGGGCTATTGGGCATGAATCAATGCTGCCTGCAAATAGTTTAAACCTTTGGCATCATATTCATGGTGTCTCTTCACATGTTTTGAGCATAACTATCACTTTCATGAAAAGACATTTCATCACACTTTGGTTTGTATAATTGTAAAATGATTTTTATCGGTTGACAAGTTGAATTGTGTTTTTCTCCTTAGAACTTCTGACAGGCTGGGATTTTGGAGGTTTAATTACAAATTCTCTTTGCTCTTATACAAGCAATGTTGATTTTAAGTTATGCACTGGCATGCATTGAGAAGAAGGAAATAATGATGGTGGAATTCTTTCTCAAAGATAAAAATGCCTAAACCTTTTTCTGTGGGACAAAAATAATTTTAAGAGTCTCCTCTTGATTATAAAATAACAAATTTCTAAAAAGAGAGAGGCAAGGAATGATAGTGATTCTCAGAATATCTTAATCCTCACAAGTCCTTTGGTACTAACTATTAAAATAACACTAATTGGTCAGATTCAGAGAAGCCATGTATTTCCATCAGAGAGCTTATAATCAAAAGACCCAAGCTGAATTCAACATATGGTAGCAAGTGGAAGGTGATGTATCTAACTGATTTGCAGTGATCTCCACAGACCAGAGGATATTTTGAGTGAAAGGGCAAGAATACTGGAAAAATGAGGATGACACTACAGTTGATTAGAAATAATTATTTTTTTTCCTTCTTTCCCCCTTTCATTCTGTCCCCCCATTTCCTTTTTTTTTCTTTTTGAAAGTTTAAAGTTCCATTGCATCTTTTTTTTAATTAAGAAAATCAGTTTCCAGTGAAAAAATATCAATAAATCTAAGCATTGGTGATACTTTTTTCTGCTAATTTAAAGAAACACGCTGCCTGAAATTATGATTATATGTTCATCTACTGACTATCAATCCGCATGGTGTCTGAGAAAGAGTCCACAGTTACAGTGTCCAAAATTTTAATACCCTGTCTGTTTTTCCACTGTTCTCTGCAAGTAACTCCAGTATAAGTTTCATAATTGCATAACTGTGTTTTAATTTCTGGGTTTTTTTTTTTCTTTTGAGACAGAGTCTCATTCTGTCACCCAGGCTGGAGTGCAGTGGCCGATCTCAGCTCCCTGCAACCTCTGCCTCCCGGGTTCAAGCGATTCTCCTGCCTCAGCCTCCTGAGTAGTTGGGATTACACGCACCCACAACTATGCCTCTTTTACAGAAAAATAATTATTTAAATTCCTGGATTATTATTTTGCAAATATTGGCAATAAGTAAGCACCAATTCAGTCATATATGGAGATAACAAATAGACACTATTGTCACAAATTTTGATCAGTAGAATTTAAATTTATGATAAAAAATAAAAATAAATTATACATACAAAACATAGAATTAATAGTATATCTGTGTACTTAATAGTATAATATGTGTATTATACTCTCTCCTTATATACAGAGAGAGAGGCACACAAATACATATCAAGATAAAGAATTACGTAGGTGAGCCAAGCCTTTGGACTGGGATTATCCTTTGGCTATGACTAAGTAGAACTAAGAATGGAAGGTACCATGGTGGTTAAGAGAATTAAGCAACAGTACAAAAGAAACAGAATCAAAGAAGAGTACAAAAAATACTAAATATTTACCTTGTTAGATATGCGAAAACAAACATCTTCTATCTTTTTTTTCTGTTTCGTTACTTACTTTAATGACTCTTAGCTACAGTGTAACTGAATAATGGAAGCTGCAAAGGCCAATTTGTCTCCCCTACCATACCTAGTCTTGGGCTGTTCCATGTCATCTTATTCATATATTGTGATTCCCAATATCTTTTATTGGGGAAAAAAGGTACCTCTGATTAGTAATTCTGATCCCGGGATATCTCAGAATTCCAGTTTTGAGGCTGTAAGAAATGTTAAATTGTCTATTAATTTAGCTGCTATGTAATTTTTTTCACAAAGCCTTTTTAAAATTTTGTTTTCAATTTAAGTTGCTTAGTTATTTTTTACAAAACAATTCCTAAATTTTTAACACACTTTCCTCCTAAAGAAAAGAATGACTGTATGTTTAAAATATCAAGTAATTGTTCAATAGATTCATCAGTGAAGCAACTTTGCACAATGGAGATGAGCAGAGTTGAAAGCAGAGAAAATGTTTCTTCTATTATTTTAAAAAAAGGCACCTTCCTTTGCTTTCATTATAATATGTAACGTTCTAATGCATTTCAATGTTTCTGGTTTTAGATCTTTATTTTATCACTTTTTGTGAAATTGTGAAATGTATATTTGGTTTTCAACCCCATATCCTACCATACAGCTCCTAAAATCCTTAGAATCTCCAAAGAGATGACTTTTTTTATCCTAATGACTGACTGGTGGTTGGCAGCCCCTTGGTAGCTTCAGGATGGGAACTGGTCACGAGAAAGACCAAGGTATGATTACAGAGTTGGGACTTTCAGCCCCACGCCCCAAACTCCGAGGAAAGGGGGCAGGCTGAAGATTAAGCTGATCAACAACAGCCAATGATTTAATCAATCATGTCTACATAATGAAGCTTCCATAAAAATCCAAAAGGACTGGGTTCAGAGAGCTTCTGGATGAACACATGGAGGATTGCAAGAAGATGAACAAAACTCATCTGCGTGCAGGAGATGGTGGGCTACTGCAACCCCATAGGGACAGGAGCTCTTGTAGTACCCCTCCAGACCTCACCCTATGTATTGCTTTATCTGGCTGTTTATTTGTATGCTTTAAAATATCTTTGTAATAAACTGGTAATCATAAGTAACTGTTTCCCTGAGTTCTGTGAGCTGCTTTAGCAAATAAATCAAACTGAAAGGTAGGGTTGTGGGAACCCCAACTTGAGGCCAGTTGGTCAGAAATTCCCAAGGTCCAGACTTGTGAGTGCTGTCGGAAGGGGTGGGGAGGCTTGGGGACTGACCCTTCAACCTATGGAATCTGACATCATCTTCAGGTAGATAGTGAGGGAATTGGATTAGAGGACCCCAGCTGGCGTCCACGGAAGAACTGATTGCTTGTTTGTTGGTGGGGAGAAATTCCCTGTGGTTTTCACAGAAATCTTCTGTGTTGATCACTGCATGAGAGCAGAGGAAAAACACATTGAGTGTGTTTTCACCACACACGCTTTTCTTTATAATTGGTTACTCAATTACCAAGCTAAATGTACCTAGACTTTGTTTCTTAGCCAAGTTTGTTAGTATTTCTGCTTTCTTCTGTTTATATGATTCAGTCTTTCATCATAATGAATAGAATAACAGGTTCCCCTCTTCGTATCCAATGGCATAGTCAAGACTCCTCTTATGATACATATTTACATTCAATTATACATTACAAAAATCTATTTCAATAGTATTAAATTAAAGTCTTATTAAAATGACACACAACTTGCTATAATTTATTATTGGGAACCTAAATTATCAAATTATGCTATTTTGAGACAGTGTTGTTCAGTGGGAATATCCACTGGGTTTTGGTCACATAGACATGGATTCTCTCATTTATTATATGTTATACTTTGTGTCTGCATCTATAGAGCAGGGAGAATAATATCAATTACCTAAGGATTAAATACATAAAAATCACCTGAAACAGTAACAAAATACTCTAAATCATCAAAGTAAAATTTCATAATTATAACCATTCAATTTAACCAGAGAGACATATCTTTGTAGAAGTTACACATATTTCAATAGCTTTATTTAATGTTGAAATTATCTTTCAGTGTTCTTTTGAATGCTATTTATATGTATGTAAATTCTATTTTATGCTATACTTAATATTGTGCTTTGAAAACTCAGAATAAATTTGGTAATTCGGATATTAAGAATGTGACTATGTTGATTAAAAGGCAGAAACTTGTTTTTGTAAACAGTTTTTATTCTAGTACTGATCTAGTATATCAGCTCTTGGTTTATATTAGGTGACTGTCAAATTTCACATTTTTTCATTTTTTTAAAATGAGGATTAATTCAGTAATAAATGCCCGACAATCACAGCTTACCTCGAGGCTCTTTCAATTCAGCATAATTTTACACAGTCAACTCTGCTCATCAGCTCTTACTAGACTGTCTTACCAAGAGTGCAAGCTCAGAGCCATCTCATTCAACACATTATACTTTATTGGTGAATTTCTTGAACCTCTTGAGTCAATGATTTTCTTGAAATTGTTATTCAGAGTACAGTCTCTTTTTACAAGATCTGAAATGAAATGGATAGCAACCCAACTCATATTTTATGCTCTATAAAAGTATAAATTATCTGAAGACCATCTTCCCAGCATGTGACTACCTGTGAATATTAAGGACTTTTAGAATCTGTGAGGTCTTCAGATCTATAGGGCAGCATCATGTGAATTGGTAATGCAAATGCCAATTTGCATCCATGTCATTTGCAATACCAATTCACATGATGCTATCCTGAGTTTAAAGGATTATCTTAGCCTAGAAAAGTGTCATCATTATTCATTTCCCTAATAAAAGAAATAAGGAAAGAAAGACAAATGAAAGGAAAGAAAGACAATAAAAGGAAAGAAAAGAAATTTATGTGGTTAGGAATAGAAATAGGGTCAGTAAGGATTTACAATACCTAGAATGAATTTGATTCCATTTTGCCTCATTGAGATTATTTTGTTTGGTTTGAATAAATAATTATTGTTTTAAACCCATGTTGGATATCTGAGGACCACTGAAATTCCACAATATGGAAAACAACTGGCTAGACAGATTACAAAGGTTGACAAAGTCACAAAGATTCACTGAAACATAGCAAAATTTTCTGGAAAATATTAATCCTGGAAAACTGAGAACTATGTGTTTCCTTCCTTCCTTTTTCTTTCTTTCTCTTTCTTTCTTTTCTTTCTCTCTTTCTCTCTCTCTCTCTCTCTTTCTGTAGTACTTAAGAGGAATATCCATAGGCACAAAGACATCTAGGCCAAAGAGTAAACAAATAGCAAATATGAAATTATAAATAAATAAAGAGTATGAGAATATCATAAAAGCTCACATACTAACAGGTAGTTTGATATACACATGCACATTCAGTTTTACATTTTACCAGCAACAGTGAGTGGGTAAAGCAATGCTACACACTTCATTTAGCTAAAGGACAGCTATATCAAAGGCTACAAGTGGCTCTGAGTGAATTTTAGAATGAAATTAGTTATTTTAACATTTATATGAAAAGACACTAAGTTCACCTAGAAATAAAAGGGCCTGTTATGCACTGTCTGAATATGTCAACACAATAACAGCAAACAACCAAAAAGTGAAGTAGCAATGTAGCTACAAATCCACACAAATTTTCAACATCTGGATACTTTAGAGGCTCATAGAGTCAACACTGTCTTTACATGAGAGGTTTGCATGTGTGTAGGACTTTGGAATTATATAGACATAGGGGCCAACGTAAGAAATAATGAACAAGTCATTAGTGCATCACACAATTCCTGAAAATTGTTGGCATTAGTAGCCACTAAAATTAACGAGGTAAAGAGCACACAAATGTACAAAGAAGGCATTTTTAAGTGAAAGGGGGAGAATATAATCAAAACAATATTATTTTATCTTAAGCTTCGTTATTTGGCCGACCAACTTGGATTACTTAAGGACTACCTAAATTCTTTTTAAACCCATTATATTAATTTTTAAACTGAAACATCATAATTATTTTTCTCTGCAAATGAAGTTTACTTATTTTAACTAGTATATATATGTGTATATATATTCACTACAAAACTACATATTAACTATAAAAAATCAGAATAAGGAGATATATAAAGTAAAATAAGGTCTTCTGTAATGCCATTTAAAGAGGATTACTAATATTTGTGGTTACTTTTCAGACATTTTTAATGCACAATTATACTTCTATTAAAAAATTGAATCATCAAACACACACTTTTAGACCTGTGTCTTTATCAAACAGTATGTGGTGAATATATCTTCATACCAATACACTTGGATTTACTAATCTTTTTATTGTCTGTGTATTATTATCTTTATATTTTAATTGTTTTCAACATTTGGTTAATATAAATAATTTTGCAACAAACATTCTTACAAGTACATCACTCAGCTACATAAATACAATTTTTACTAATAATAGTAAGAAAATACATTAAATAAATGAACATTTATTTATTACGTGCAAAACTACCGTTCCGTCATTTTTAGATACAGAAAAACTGATTCTTAGTGAATTTATAAAACTTGTCTAAGGGCTCATTGCTTGGAAGCATTTGAACCCTGGCCTGTCAGACTTCAGAGACTAATCACTTAAATACTATGTTACTAATTTTCTGATATTAATAAAAATGCATTATATTAACATGATTTTTAAAAATCTTCCAAATTTTCTTCTTATAGTCACTAGTTTTGAGTTAGCTACCATTTCATATTTTCTGACTAATTTTAAAGATCCACAAAACAAGGTATAAAAATAAATTAAAAATTATATTAGTTATTATTATAAAGTGTCATTCTCAAACCAAAAGAAAATCAAAATTCTGCCTCGTGAACCCTGGTATCGTGATCATTAAAACTTAGAAGTTTGCCCATCACTCAAAGACCTCTCTTTAATATTCAGGTGTCTATTAACCTGACAGTCCTTTATGAAAACCTGGATGCTGTGGTTTTGAAAAGTGCTATGTTTTTGCAACGAATTGGTTCCTTTCAGAATCAAAGGCATAATGGGTGGAAAATACCATACATATGAGAAAAATGTAATGCAATTCCAATTTTTTACTCAATAACATTTCATTTATTAAAGCTGTATGTTTTTATTAGGTTATACTAGATTAATATGTTGTGAATTTTAAACATCAAATCCTGTATATATCTTTTATTTTAAAATAAAAGTTTAGATAGATGTAATGGATAGCATATTCTTTGATTTCCTCACTGCTTAATATTCTCTTTGTATTCTCACATTCAATTTATCAATGTGTCTGCATACATTAGAAAAGAGCTTTTCACATCATGAATCCATGTAACTACCTTATTCCTGTGTGTGTTTATATTCTTTTTCTATTCAAACTGTGAAATTTGTCATTAAGCCACAACCAACCTGTGAAATCTGTCATTCCATCTCTGTAATTTATAGCAAAAGACTCCATGATCAATTAGAAGTGTACTTAAACATGTAATCAACAGGATGAGTGGTCACAGTGAAAATTAAGAAACAAAAAATGACTTGATTTCAATTTAATAAGTCAGTTATTTTATGGTAAATACACATAAATAGGTGACTAATATACTGATTTAACTATCATGGTAATAACAAAAATTTGCTGCCAACACAGCTATTTAAAAATTTTTGTTCCTATTTTGTATCTATTATGCTATAATAAATGTCCCTCATGACAAACATATTACTAAGTTAAATCAAATCATAATAAATTGTTTTCAGATTACCAGAGTAACTTTTTAAGCTTTTTTTCAAAAGTTTTAAAATTTGGCATAATGGTATTTAAATCTTACATCTGCTAATATGTTTTGTAAACCTAACATACTTAACTAATATATTTTCAGTTCTATATTTAAGTAACTGCTAAGGTATGTATGAATGATTCCAAACGTGCAAATATTACTAACTGTATTGGAGCATCCCTGTTCAAATTTCCATTATTAATAGTATCAGTAATAGCTTTAACAATAAAATATAAAAATACAACTATTTAAACACAATTTATAATCCTTATTTTGCAAGAAAATGGAATTAGAAACCCAGACACTATAATTTAGGAAACATTTCAACTTTTGCAATGCATGGAAATCTGTGGAAAGAACATTGTTAGCACAGTGCTAAGTGTGGCTATGTGCTTACACAGGAATCACAAACTGTTAGTTGCTATTGTTGTTATAATTCTTATTCCTTGCATTGAAAAAGAGATATTTTCCCTAAAATATAAAAGATAAGAAATAATTTTAAACCAATTTTGGTGTTTTAAACTTATCAATATACACTGTTATTAGTTTCTTGAATGCATCATGTGAATCCATCTTAATTTCATTGCTATACTTAATTCCATTTCCTATGGATATGCAGCTCCTTAACTATAACCTAAATATCTATTCACCTTCCCTTTCTGTCCTGGTTATTTGTGAATGACTAGGAATGAAACCTATTTCTTCTTCCTGGAGAAGTTAATTTTGGCCCCAAACTTAGGGCCTCTTCTCTACTCTTAACCTTTGCCTCCAACCTGTCTTCTTATCTGAGACATCCTTTGGCCCTTTAGAAATGAAGCTGCCACATCTTTCTGCTCTCTAATTTAGTACATGTGTCCCTCAACACACACACATTTTCTTCCCATTTCAATGTTCCAAATTGTGTGTGCTTCAACGGCTTACCAAATCTCTTCATTCTCTGAAAAAAAAAAAAAAAAGTATTCCTCTGGTGAGTTGATACTCATCTTCCAAGGAATAGTTCAGGGACAGTGGGTCTATGTTAAGCCTCCAAAGCTCTTCACTCTCAGACAGAATTAATTGATCCCAACTTGTTTGTTCAGTAACACTTTTAAATTATTGCTATATGTTTAAGAGTTTATTAGCTCCTGTTATTAGCAGGTCTTTCCCTCCACTCTTTCTCATGAGTTCAACTTGAGGCAGGGGTGGTGTTATTTATTTATACATCACTTTTCACATTTTATTTTAAAACAGGTGCTCAACTAACCCAAGATAAATTGAAAATTTCGTGATATGCTGAGATATGTTATTAATAAATTATTGGCAATGTTCTAGAAGGTTGCCAAAATAATAATTTTACCATTAATGGAGGCATATTGCTAACATTAGCACCAGCATCATCAGAGATAAAAATGTATGCTTTCACAGAAAAAAAAAAACATTTGCAGTATACATGACTAATGATTAAACACTTTAATATTTAACTAAAGGAAATGATTTTCACTTTATTCAAAACACAAAATTCATGTTGAAAAGCATTGTGCATGAGACTTTTCTTAATCCCTGATATTATCTTTTTTGGTTACTCATAAATTTGTTTCTTCTTTTCTTTGTATTCTATTAGTTTCATATGGCAACAAATGAATTTTCAGATATACATGATCAGTAGTGTCTGACAATTCCAAAGCAAGTTATGGTTTCAGTCAATTAATCTGTCCTCCACTGATGTTACATCCTGACATCCAGAGAACGGAGTATATGATATTCTCTCAAGTTTCAACACTTATGAGGATGTGACATGTAAAAATAAATGAAACAGTCTATATCAAGTTGTTCTGTTCAAAAATCAAATAAAAAGATATTCATAATCATTTTCAAAGTTAATACATTAATTATATTGTAATTTTTTGATATGTCACCTTAACAATCCTAAGTTTGAATTTGAAAAAGAATTTAAAGTTGTACTTAACACATTTATTGCACGTTGCCATAATGAAGTGGTTAAGAGCATAGTCAGTACAGTGAGATTATTTGAGTTTAATCTCAATTATACTTCTTACTATCTGTGTTTGCTTGGTGATGATTCTGTAATATTATTATACCTTAGTTTCCATGCAATTCAAATAAATATACAACATTTATGAGAGTGCCTGGTGCATCGTAAGCACTCAGAATAGCTGCTATTATTATTGTTTATTCATTTTGAATATTGATCATTTTCACTCATTATCCTGGTTTGCTTTTATTTTAATCAACTGTCTAGTGACTCTATTAATATCAACTATTTAATATAAACTATTTTTGACACCATTAATTGTTTAAAAGAATAATTTTTTAAAAACAGCCAAATGAAACATTTTATCAATTATATTAAAAAGCATAGGTATTCACAATGTATTTAGATACTTTGAATTCAAATAGTTACATCATGGGGACCACTACCATTTGACTGCATTCAAAGATCTTTTGCATAAAGATTGTTTCAGAAAGTTTTATTTACTCTTCGAAGTCATTAAATTACAGACAAATAGGTAATTATAAAATAGATAGATCCTTATGGTTCATTAGAGAGCCCACTTTGAGCCCTGTTTAAAACTATCAATAATTTCCAAATAAAATATACATATCATTTTTACCATCGTGAAATAATTAAATCAGATTTGGGGACTAAACATGTCATAAATACAGCGGAAATATTATTTTACAAATGTGTACAGTTCTATCGTGGAGTTTAAAAAAAAATGTAGTGCCTCTTTGCTAACACATACGCACAAAGACTATTCCTTCTTCCTCTATGATTACTGCACCTATTCTTTTGATTTTCCTTCTAAAAATTAAATCCCCATTATAATAATCATCTTTTAAAACACATTACGATTATGAACTTAGAACCTCAGTTTTTACCAGCACTGCTGACTGAACATTATAAACAGCAACAGCTAATAAAACAACACCTTGGCTGTGTAGACATAATCTTCAAGTATACCTGATTATAAAGTAGAATTATGGATCTCCCCATTCCTTATTCAAAATAAGTTATTTTAGCCTTAAAAGCAATTGAACCATTTGTGCTACTATTCAAATTCCAGGCTGTAAATCTATACTGAAGGCTTTTTAATTCAACAGAGTTGACACATTTTTGAGAATCTATCCTGTACCTATCACTGTGCTAGTTTCCGTAAGAATTTAGAATCTCCACCAGTAACACCACAAGAAGAAATAACGGTATAGAATGAGGAACGTAAATTTACCCCAAAACACCAAGAGTTATGGTCTCAATCTATCATATACTGTTCTTCCTGCTTAAGGAACATAACAAAATATGACACTTCAAGTCAAGATATAAAGTCAAATATACTATAGTATTATTTTGTAGTTAATATAGGTCCAGGAATATTTTTTGAGCAATTACATGGACTAGACAGGTGCATGTCATGCCCCTAACACCTCTCGGAGTACAAGAACTCAAATCTTAGGGAATCATTCTTCACACTCATGAGAATCTGGAGCAATTCCTATATTTGGTACACCAGGAGTGGGCTTCTCTCACAAGCAGGTGAGGAAATGGGAGATCTGCTAGTGTGGAGATGCAAAGTAGTACCTGAGAAACAGCTATTGAAAAAACATGGAGGAAACCTGGAGAACAGAGTGACAATGAAAACAAAAAAATTCAAGTAGAACAAAAAAATTGTAAATATTTTTAATCATAATTTAGATAAGTTGTTTGGAAAATATGGACTTGATTTGACTTGAATCTTACTTATTTCCAAACTCAGGTATGCTGAGAAAAATTGAAGAAAACCAAGAAAGCTTTTAAATATGTGCCTCTGCTGGGTTTTCTTTTCCCTCTCATTTGGGCCTTTCTTGTTTACTAGATTATTACTTACCCTAAGGTAACTTCAAATTAAATTTTACTACTAACAAAACAACAGGACAAGAGAAATCTTAGTGATAAGATAGAGCTTCAATTATCCTAGAGAGTATTCTACAGTGTATAATTAGTTTGATCAGCATAAAATAAGCCTTGAAGTCTCTTAAATAATAACTTACAACTGAATTACCTTGCCTTTTTAAGCTGACATTGCTGGTAGGTTTGGATGCTTTATCCCATCGATTTTACAATGCCATTCACTTGTGTCTGTCTTGAATTAACAAAATTTAGCAATTGTAATTGACTTATTTATCACCACTGGAGTTTCAAAAGCCAGGTAATATGGTTCTTAAAATGTACCACAAAGTTTAAAGAAATAGAATGTAAACAAAAATAAGCCTTTTGCAGTGTGACTATTAAATCTAACATCTCTAAGCTAAAAAAAATTCAGAATTGATGAGGAGTGATGCTTTTTACAAAATCTACCCATAGCGACTTAATTAATAGGTGGCCCTATTTAAGAGAATATTCCTTCAAGTCTGTGATATTAGTTGAAAATATAATACTTTGCAACACATGAGTGTATATGTATTTAAAGATTTAAATTTTATTTTTAAAATAAGGTTTCATTAGGCAACTAATAAATTAAGAAAATGTAAACTAAAATTAACTAAACACATCATTGTATGCCCACACGGTTTGAAAATAGAATATTGACAAATTAGTCAGTTTAAGCTTCTCTATACACAGTGGCTAGGATAAACATTATATCACATTTTTTACTATTAATCTAATTACGAGGTAATGAATTCAGAAATTATTTGTTTCTAATAAATGTATATTTTTTTAAATTTCTAATTATTGGCCGGGCGTGGTGGCTCACACCTGTAATCCCAGCACTTTGGGAGGTCAAGGCAAGCAGATCACGAGGTCAGGAGTTTGAGACCAGCCTGGCCAACATGGTGAAACCCCGTCTCTACTAAAAATACAAAAATTAGCTGGGCATGGTGGCCTGTGCCTGTAATCTCAGCTAATCGGGAGGCTGAGGCAGGAGAACTGTTTGAACCCAGGAGGTGGAGGCTGCAGTGAGCTGAGATGGCGCCACTGCACTCCAGCCTGGGTGATAGAGCAAGATTCCATCTCAGAGAAAAAAAAAAAATAATTATTTTGAATACGCAGGTGTATATATTTATGGGGTATAGGTAATGTTGTGATACAGACATATAATGTGTAATAATCAATTCAGGGTGATTGGAGAATCCATCACCTCAAGCATTTCTCACTAGTTTCTGTTAGGAACATTCTAATTCCACTCTTTAGTTATTTTAAATTATACAATGCAGCTTCACAGTATTACTAGTTCTTCAAAATTCCTGTGATTCTCTAAGCATCTCTCTTTAAGCTGTTACTACTCCTTAACTTCCCTGTGATGCCTGCTTAGTTTACCCATTTCTCCCCTGCACACTGTCCCAGCCATTTTCATACTGTCTTCATGAGCACACAAGATTCTCTGAAATTATGTAACCCTGCCATCATACATTGTATTTATTCATCATTTATGAAATTAGAGTTGTATTCTTGCATTCTTTGCTATGTGTCTTTATTCTTTACTGAAGAAATTGCCTGCAAATGACCATTTAATTATCAAATGTTAATGTCTTCATCTTCTTAAACCTCTTAATTTTTTTTCTCTTTTTTAAAAGTTTTATGATGTTGGGCAAGCTATCTAGCTCTATAAATTTTAATGTTTTCATCTGTAAAATAAACTGGCATCCAGTTTTTAGGTTTGTCATATAAATAATTGAAATACTTATACAATGTCAATAATGGTATCTTCTTCTAATTGACTTCTCCATCTCTTATCTTTCTCTAATCAGCCATTGAACTTTCACACTGCTAATAATTTGAAAATAATACCCTGAAGACCAAATATCTTAAATATGCTTCACTTCCAATAATGCAGATCCAATCTTTGTAGCTCAAATTGACAGTATTTTTCAAAGATACTCAGAAGAAAAAAAAAGCCAGGATATTTTATATATTCTTCCACTCGCTTCCATTACTTTGCCTTTTCTTCACATTCCGTTCTTCCACCTCAACTCTTCAACATCCTACTCATACATTAAGGTCCAGCTCAGATATAAACTGTTCCCTGAAGTCTTCATTGATCACCCTTCTGAGAAATGGGTATCCTGATTCTCTGATTGCCTGTAGCACTCCGCAATATTTTTAAGGCACTTTGCCCCAACCTGCTTCTAGGAGTGTAGATATTCTATCCTCTTTTTGGTGTGATTCTTGGCCAAAACAATTTAGTAAATATACCAATATTCTAATATGCATATGTTTTTATAGTATATTACTTCCAAAGTGAGATATATTAAAACTCTGATTCTATAGAAACTAAGCTGCGGGCACTCCAATTTTGCTGTGCAATTATTAGATTCCAGTTGTTTGGGAATATGAAGGGAGCAAGTGTGAACTAGAGAATTCTAGCATGTGGAAAGCAGTGTGGGGTAGTAAGTAGTGCATTAGAATAATTGAAAGGAGACTTTTAAATCAAAAAAATGAGAGTTCAAATTCTACTGATACTCACTAGCTTTAAGACACTCATTGAGTTAACAGCTCCACAATTTCCTTTTATATAAAGTAGGGATTAATAATAATAAAAAAGGTTGTTCCAAGAAGAAAGGTTAATGTCTATAATGCCCTTAGTACCATGCAGACATGCATGCTCAGTCTCTATTCGTTGTATTTGTTGCTGCTGCTATTATTATTAAAGTCAAATATCCAATTGTGCCTATGAGGACTCTGCTTGAAACACAGGAAAGAAGGCAAATCTGCTTCATGAACTTTCTTATTCACGTCTTCTTTAACTATTAAGCATTCACAATTAGACTCATACTGTGGCCATGAGATTTTATATTTGAGGTTCTTTATTCAGGAAAGAGTTTCCTAATTAACACATGTTACTGTACATTGACTCTTTACTGAAATCAGGTTTAGCAAAGACTTAAGGAGAGTGTAAAGGATGTGTTCTGGAGATCTTGTCACAGAGGAGACAGAAAAATTGGAAAGATGTGTCAAAAGACAAATTTGCCTGCATCCCAGCTTTTCTTACAATTACAGGTGGTGAATCATCTAAATAAAGAGGATAGAGCTATGATTCCTCATGAGGCGGATACAAGCCAACTGTTTCTTCATGGACCTATGTTTGAGGAGGCAGCACAGGAACATAGAAAACACTGAACAGTTGGAGGTCTGGATTCTAATTTTCACCCAGCAGCTCACTCTGTATAGTTTAAACTGTCTTATCCTGCTTATATATCAACTTATGGATTGGACCATACGAGCCCTAAAATCCCTTTCAACATTAGAGCTTATTCACGCTCTGATTACACTGTCTTCAGAAATGACCCAAGTTCTTAATGGCACTTTTACTAGTATTCTAAAAATTCTTCTCTCTTAATCCTGTGAATATTTGTTCCATGGATTAAGTCTGGAGAATACAAACATGAATATGTGTTACTGGAAAGACCACAGGAATTTGCCTTTCTGAGTTTTGTGAGGTCCTTCAGTTGTACTTTTGTTATGCACTTTATAGTTTATTCTTCTTATTATACATGCTGAGAGCTCTTTAATTTCACCCTTGCGTTCTATACACATATTACTGGTATTTTTAGAAGCACTTTATGAGTACAAAATCTATTCCCTGTGCCCTCATTAATTTGAAATTACCATTTTAAGGCTGATTAAATAAGGATTAGTGCCAATGTTCTACTTATTAGGCTGTGTCTTCAACTGGAACTGATGATGTAGTATTTGTCAATAACTAGTTCACAGCCTTAAATTCCACAAAATGAAACCTTTGCATCAGGGTCCATCTGTCTGAAAATTTTAAGGCAAGCTTCCATGAAGAGGAAAGCCATCTATTATATGATGATATAAGCGTAAAGTGGCATGTATCACAGCTGTTTGATTACTGCTGGGGGATGACTCGCATTCCCCCTAAGCCCTCTATCAGAATCCAGCAGTGATGGATTGAATTCCTTTTGCCTTACCATGATGATGGATTACTCTAGGAGGATATATAAGAATTGTAGAATCTCGGCAGAAATTAATTAACAGACAACAAAAAGATGCTAGCATTGATCTTTGCTATGATATGAGATTGATCCCAGGAGTTGGTAAATATTCACTAAATTTTCTGAAAGCATAAATCATCAGCCATTCATCTGAGATTTTTTGTTCAGTGGCACCTAGTTCATTGTTGTGTAGCAATTGTAAGATTCAACATTTATATCACAACCAGGTTTTAGAAACACACACACAAACACAGAGTTTCACATGGGTAAACTAATACAGCATGTCGTGATGTATGGTTTATAATTCACATTTGCTACTTGTAGTCTTTAGGAATTACCCCCATAAGTGAAAGAATCAAAGGATTAGGTGGTAGATACAGTATCAGGTAGTGGGAATGAGCATCAGATATGTGATCAGATGAGATTAAGCCTCAGAACCTTATGATAGTCACGTTACTGATCTCTCTGAGCAAAGTCCCTCCAGTGTAAATATTTTCATTTACTCTGCCTAGTTCCCTGTGTAAGCATTAAGATTAAATAAAATAATATATTTAAAAGCTTATAATAAAGGTAAAACATCAAGTAAATTATGTGTACACAAAGAATACATTATTTATCCTTTCTCTCCTACATATGATGATTAGGTGAATGACAGAAGGGAAGCCAGAGAAACAAAAGTAAAACAACACGTTCTGAGTATGTATAATAAGATTCTAATTTATTTAAATGAATATATGGAAATGGTTTAGGAAAATATTTTTCAAATTTCAATATTTTCATGACTAAAAATGCAAAGAGAAAGATGAACCAAGTGATAGCTTTAAAATACTTTAAAGGATACATTTCCTTATTAAAAATGAAGATAAGAAGTTAGCAAAACAGGTTAGTAGAAATTGTTTTCTTGATGAGAAGAAAGTCCTTATGAAGTCTAGTCTATCTGTGGTTGTACTGATTTATTTGGAATTTTAAAATATGCAGAGAACTTTTAAATTATATATTTAAGTATACGGCTTGAAATTCAACTTCTCAAGGTGAAATGACACCAGATCTCTACCAAGTACAGAGGAAACACAGAAGGTACTAATAAAACTAAAATTGATCTGCCTGGGAGACAGGTGCTGAGCCAGTGAAAACAGGTTAGGGACTAACAGCAGTGAATAGCCCCTTTGTTTCCCCTGGGGAAAAAAAAGAATGTTTAGTTCAGTAACAGCAAGCAAGTTCCTGAGGGAATTATTCAAGAAGGCTGATAGAGTCCTGTGAGCTGACACATAAGTTTCTTCTTGAAATTGAGGAAAAACAAATGTGTAGGCTAACAACTTGTTGAGAAAAAAACAAAAATTAAAAGGAGTGTTCACTTAAAAAAACCTTGTTTGCAAAGTTAAGTAGTTAAACTGGTAACTCAAAACAAGAACTACCAACTGTATCCCTTCTCCCCTTCAAAAAAAGAATTGTCAATGGCATGTTAGAAGAAATGCAGCCTGGAAAGAGAGTCTCAACATGGTTCAGTCAAAGTAGGAGATTCTTCTACTCCTTCATGTATTCAGGTTTTAAATGTATATTTCAGATCCATTATCTGACAGACATTGAGCTAGGTGCTAAGAATACAAACATGAATAAAATGCTGTTCTTGACATTAAGAAATTTATCAGCTAGTAGAGAAAGGGACATGAACACAGTGTTTAAAGTAACATGATTAGAGATATGAAAGACACTATAACCTGGTGTACATAGGGGGTTTGCTTAACTCTGCTTGTGTAAGTCAGTACTAACATAGAAAAACCACCAAAAAAGCAAAAATAAAAATGAACAAATACGGCAAAAGTGATACTGGAAACTAAGGGGGTCAAACGAAAACAATTCCTTGAAAACAATGAATTTTGAAATGTAAGAGAGAGCACTGTCAAGGGTCAAATGCAAATTGTACTGAAGAGTTAACATGAATGAACACCTCTGCCAGTATTAATTGCAAAATGTCACACCTAAAACTGCCTATGCTCATCTTGATACTACTGTTGATGACACTTTCACCAAAGTATTTTGCAGGATTATATTTTGAACTTAGATTAAGTGGGTGTATAAGAATCAAATACAGGTATAAGCATTCTAATATACATGTCCTATTTTAAAATCACATGCCCAGCAACCACACTAAGAGAGACCTAGGGCCTTTTTGGTCTTCAATGAACAAATAACCTAAAATCTTACAGAAAATAACAAATCTAGAAAAAGACAATGTCGCAAGTTGTTGGATTTGTTATTGGATATGGAATGTAGAGATTAAGTCTCATTTTGCAAGAATGGGTGAAGAGTCGTAATCTTTTCCATTTTTCTCTCAGTCAATATTTAGTTACTTCGTTCAAAATGAAGTTTGCTTGCTAGAACTCCATTGAGTAAAAGCTAGTTAATTTTGGTCCTAAAGTACGTTCTTATATTTCCTAGGGTAATTTGTCCAATAACTTTATGGTAGTCATCAAGATAATTAAGTTCTCAAACACATTCTAAAAACAGGGAGCATTAGAACATAAATTAAAATGGTTTTAAATAACCTCATTTTATTTAAAGCTTCAACCGTACACTCTTAAACAAATTTACCTTTGTAGCATCAACAGACCTACATTGCTATATTTGAAGAAAAAGTAAAAAATTGAATGTCTTTAATGATAATTGCTTTTAATTCTAAGTGAAAGTTTAAATTACAATAGTAGCCACTGAACGGAACAATGTTTGAAGGTTTTTCCTGCTGACAGTTTTAATTTGATTTGCTTTGAATTTCTTCTGGATGCTCTAAGATTTCAGCTGACTTTGCATCTATTTTAAATCACACTTCTGTTTAAATAAATTGAAATACATAAATAGAAGATGTGAGGATAATGACTAAAAGAAACAGAAACGAAAAACAGACACAATTAAGAAGAGAATATGAAGTAATATAAACAACAAGCTCATGAAAATCACTCTTGCAAATGCATAGTAAATGAACACAAAGAAAGAATTCCAAAAGAGAAGTATAGAATTAGCATAGGGATATGGGCTAGGAAAAAAAAAGAAACAAACAGATAAACAGATTCAAATACTCATTAACCTGAATATAAACGTTTTTTTAAAAATAGTGTAAATTAGCCTAAAAAAGAAAAAGCTGAGTAAAGATTTTGTTCTATACAAATATGATGATTTTAAATAGGATCTTTGAGTATATCTAAAATGGGAAGTATTTAAATGACAAAAACAAAAACACTCTATGAAACAAAGATTTTTCATATTTTATGTGATGTTACACATTCAGAAATTTTGAAAAACAGTAGTTCATTGAGTTAATGTATTGTGATTACAATATAATGGGTCATTTTCAATGAATTTAATATAAATACCCATCTGATAAAAATTATAAAAATTTTCTCTCAGTAAAAGAGAAAATAAATTGATATACAATTAATATTTCATGTATAGCCATATTTCAAAAATAATATTTCCAAATATTCACTATAGCAAACATCATCACACAATCTCATTCCTCATGTATTCCACTTGGGAGCAAATGACATGTATGTGTGTGTGTGTGTGTATATATATATATATATATATATATATATATATATATATATATACACACATATATAAATGCACAGTATATTAATTACTTTTTGCACTTAACATAAAAAGATAGGCAGATATATATATAAATATAGGTATGTATATGAATATATACATATGGAGGCAATGATTTATATGGTATTTATCTATCTTTCTATCTTTACATCTCCTGTGTTCTCGTTTTCTCAAATTTCAATGATCATATCTGTAGAACTTAGTTCAAAGTCAAAGATATAATCGTTGCTATTCTTCCCCCATCTAACTACCCCTCCATTCCTTCTTACAAGTAAATTGAATTGGTTTGACAAGACTAATCTTTACATTTCTATAGAGTCAACACCAAATAATCTGTATTAATAGAGTAAGTATATCATGATACTGATGTACAGAAAATTTTAAAACAATTCATACTGATTCAAAAGCCATTTTTGTATTATGTTTGTATCTTATCATGTGTTGTATTCTGAAAGTTAACCGTATTTAAAAAAAAAACAACTTAAAAGCATACTGTGAATCACGAGGCATTTAGAAAACTTCCTTGTTTCAGCATCCTTACTTCTGATCAACTTTTGAATGCATACCTCATGTTCAAAGTTGTAAGAATCTCAAACTTAAAAGACATAAACATTCTTGCTATCAAGTCTCTGGAATCAGATGAAGTACCTTCATTAGTTTAACACATCTTAGCATTAGGTGTAATTAATTTACTAATTCATACAGCATGTTACAAATATTTAATGAGCACTTACTCTATTGCAGGCAGGCAAAGTGCTGACGAACAAGACAGATATTGTTCCTACCCTAATGGACTTTACAAAGTTATAGGTGCTTCATTGAATCTCTTAGGACCTCAGCTAGTTCACCTGAAAAAGCCTATTAATCTATGATTTTCTAAGTTCTTTCTGTATCTAGAATTCTATGATTATTGTGGAGAGGCAGGGTACATTTTGGCATTCAAACATATAAAAATGCTTAAAATGGCAAAAGATATAGATCAGCAAGATACTAAGCAATAATTTGTATTTGAAAGTTGAAATATTATTAATATATCAAATAAATCAGCTTTACTTTCCCATGGAATTGCACCAAAACTTAAATATTTCTTAGCTTTAAGATGTTTGTGCTACATTTTTGAATAAAAACACTTTATTTCATTTTATCTAAGGAAATAGACAAACTTCTTTAAAATTTCCAGAGTTGTCCTAAAATGTTTTAAGGCTTAATATTAACTATGTACATAATTTCTAGGCAGGTTAAAAATAAATTTTTAAATTTAGCTAATTCTTTCTGTGCATTAGACTCAAATACTGATATCTAAGAGGGTCAATTATAAATTTCCTAAAATATTTTTTAAAATTTATCGTTATTTTTGCTGTTCTCTAGAACATTTATTTTTACTAGAATCCTATACATCTAAAATCAATTGAAATTTTTATAAATTTGACATAATTTTTTAATTTTTAATTTTTTTCAAAGCATGTGATTTTTAGGGGATATAATTTTAACAGAAAATAATTGTGGGTATTGGCACGGTAAGAATGCCTCACAAGCTTTGCCAAGGCAGTACACTTTTATTGTTAACATTAGGAACAGGGAAAATGAAATAAGAAGGAATAATATTAATTCATATAAATGAGGATTTTAATGACAGAAAGAATGCAGAAACAGTTTTGGGCTCTGAACAGAGTTCGAGCTCTGCTACCAGCTGTGTGACCTTGTGCTCGATGGCTAACACTATGTGAAATGATAGGATAGTACCAGACGATCTTTAAGATCCATTCCAGGTTAAAAGACTGTAATTCCGACCATCATATAATGTTATAATTCAGTCCTTAAAAGACAGCCAAGACCTAATAGTGGCCTTCAGGCTGAGTAATTGCTAACTTTGTGCTGTAACAAATGTAACTTTTATATTAAGTAGTTCTAAAAGGTATCGATCAAAGGGTAAAAGAAAATGAATAGGTTGCATTGCCAAAAATAAACTGTGGGTGGATAAGAAACCAGGTATCTTCCTTAAATGCAATATGACAATAAAGAAAGGTCAATTTCTTCATGGGTTACACAACAGGAAATCTAGAGACAATAGTTCTTTGTGCAACTCAGTACTTGAATTAGAAAATTCAATATAATTCTTAAGGGTTATAAATGATTTGATTAGTAAAAGGTAACAAATAAAATGGGCATTTTCTTTCATACTACAGAGTTCTTCTATATATATTGATAATGCCTTTTGACTAAAAGATATATATGTCTATGTGTGTATAATAAATCTATATATATATATATATACACACACACACACTTAAGTATATGCATGGTATGCAAATGTATACACTATATAGATAAATATAGAGAATGGCAATTAAACAATTTCCACAATAATTACTAGAATGTAAATTCACTGAATACTGGAATTTAAAATTTTTTTTCTGCTATATTATCAGCACCTAGAACAGAGGTTCTGACACACAGTGGATGTCAGTAAATATTTTTTTTTAAATGACCAATTAAGTAGACACAATATTGAGTACTAGCTTTTAAGTCTTATTATTACCAGAGCAGTGGTGTTTTCTCTGTACCTTCCTGTTCTTTTTTCACAGTAAATTATGGTTAAAACCAATGAAATCTTCCTCCATACGTAGAATATTGGAACAGACTTTACAATGAAACAAGTGGATGACACTATTAATTTACACAAAATATAGAAATAAATGATATCTAAAAAATTCTAAATATTATTAATCCTAGAAATTCCAGAGATTTTACTATCCTGGAGGAACCTGAAAAAGAGTGCTTATTTTTAGATACATTTCAGGGTTTCTTCACGTTTCTAGGTCTCCAGTGTTTGGCTTGATGGGAAGGTGTATGAGAGTTTCTAAGCAAGATTAAAGCCCAGCCTGAATGCTGAAGTAAAGTTTAGATGCTTTTTTGTAAATGCTTTTTCAAAAATGATGATCTTGTGTTTTTTATTTTTATTTTATTTTTTAGTTAGCACAATGTCTGGAATGGGAGAAAGAATGACAAATATTTACCACCGTGTCGGTCTGAAGTCTCCTGAAATGAGTCTCCCATGGCAGCAAAGACCAACATGGCTAGATTTAGGATGTAATCTAAAGCTATATGTAAAATTGCTAAAGAAATGTTACAAAAAGAGAATCTGTAATTTTCATTCATTAAAAACCTCTATTACAAGAATTTTAAAATAAATGTTTAGAGTTGGTCAGCATTTAATCACATTTTCCAAAATATATAACTAAAAGATGGTTTTAACCAATATTAAACACATTATGAAAAGTACTATTATTTAAGTTTTAGCAGATATTGATTAGGTTTGTACCATTTTCATCAAAGAGGGGAAAACTGTCTAATCAACTTTGCTGCTTTTAAATGTTTTGTTTTTATCGAAGTTTAATAAGACTTTCCAATAGCTTCAGATTTTAAGATGCACTTTTGACAAAAATGTCCTCTGATTCAAAATAGTACATTCTAACAGCTTGATTACCTTTAGTATTGTCTACATTTCAGGAGTTGAAACTAATAATTAATTTTAAAAGCACAGATTTCTAGCTCCTATAGGTATCAAAACATTTTAATTGCTTTGATAATTTGTTTTCCACTATCATACAATCTCTGGAGAGTTGGAAACTAAAATATCAGTGGCACATAGATGAAACAAACAAGCAAGATATAGAATAAAAATGTGATTTGCGAAGAGATAAATATGCACATTACATTCAGATTTGTGTTAATAAATAACATTTAAGATATGAATCTATCTAGACAAGCACATAAAGGCAGTTATCTTGCATTATTGCACAGCATGACTGTAGTGCTAAGAAGACTTAGATGAATTTAAGATTGTATCTAAACTTCAAAGTACCATATAGATTTGAGAGTTGTATAAGCTTCTTACGTGTACTTACTTATTGTATACAGCATTTTTTTAATCTTGACAATCTTGTGCACTTTCATTAAGTGTCATATTTTTCTTTTCTCCCCTCTCCATAAAACATTACAATATCACATATACTACTGAAATCCTTAGCAATAGAAGGCCTTAGTTAATCTACAAAGAAAACTTTCAGAACTTCTGGTTTATTCCTATTTATATATCAAGAATATATTCAAGGCCGGCTGCCATGGCTCACACCTGTAATCCCAGCATTTTGGGAGGCCAAAGTGGGTGAATTACTTGAGGTCAGGAGTTTGAGACCAGCCTGGCCAACATGGCGAAAGCCTGTCTCTACTAAAAATGCAAAAATTAGCTGGGCGTGGTGGGGCATGCCTGTAGTTCCGGCTAGTAGGGAGGCTAAGGTTGGGAGATTGCTTGAACTTGGGAAGCAGAGGTTTAATTGAGTTAAGATCGGGCCACTGCACTCCAGCATGGGCAACAGAGCAATAATTCTACTGTGAAATCATCAGATGTTTCTAGATCAGCACTGTCCAATAGAACTTTTTGAGATGATGGAAATGTTCTATAATCTGCCTTGTTAACTGGGCTGCACTGTGCACTGAAAATTTTGTTGTGAGGGTAGATCTCATGGTAAGTGGTCTTACCAAAATGGGTATGTTCAATAGCTTGTGGTGATAGTTTCATGGGTGAATGCTTATGTCCATACTCATCAATTTGCACACATTAATTATATGCAGTTTTTAAAATATCAGTCACCATTTTATATCAATAAAGCTGTTAACTTTTTAAACAGCATATGCTTTGTTTTTTGTAATTATTACTTTTTTCTTCTAAATACATTTCCTTAAAAGTATTCACTGTTAAATCATTTATTTAAAAACTATAACATTTTTTCATTTATGGTCTAAATTTAACTAGAAATATTTTATGGCTGATTTTGTATATTAGTAATTTCTTCCCTTAGAGATAAACTAAGGTCAAGGTAGGTAGTATGATTCATAAGATACCTCAAATGAATTACTCTTAATTGAACATTGACAGTCAAAAAATAAAATAAAGTAATAAAATAAAATATATAAATAAACCAACAGAAAGATGGGCCAAGAATGCATAATACATATTTTTCAGATAAATAAATATGCTGAAAGCAAAAATATAAAATAATTATGTCATGATAAATCATATAGTAATTAATTTAAATAGTAGCAAAACTTACTTTAGGGTGAAGAAAAAATACATGACATATTTGGTATGGTGATTTTTAGGGACCAAGTCCATTGTTGGTAACAGAAAATGCACAACATAAAATTAGTTTTATTATTTGGTATTTAATATCTCACAGAGACGAAATTATTTTTATCAATCAAAGCCTCCTGGACCAAAAGAAAAAAAGTGTAACACTTTAAAATCTCGTTAATGAAGATATACACTTGTTTAATGTTTTTATTTTAAGAATAAATAACATATTGCACTTAAATATTACTTTTTATTACAACTTAGACTATATGGTCCCTCCTTGTGACAGAAGAGATTCAGAAACTGTATCAGGTTTTATCTTTTATTCTCATTGTAAGTTTTCTACTACACTGGACAATTATAATCTAGGATATAAAAGGTTTTAAACAGGACAATTCCTATACTTTGCACCCACCTTTTAAGAATTCTAAGTAATACTACACATATTAGCTTAACCTTTGCAGTTATATTACGAAGAATGACTAATTTCTCCAGGAGCTACTCGTCCAAATACCACGTACAAAATGATAAGATAAAGATAGTTGGAATATTGACAGAACATTAGAAATAATACAGCATTCAAATATAGTTCTGTGAACTGTTTGCATATTTTGCCAGTCTAGCCATGTTCTTAAATTGGATAATATCAGAAGTCATAAAATGATTTTCAGTGGACAATGTAGGCCAGTGGATATTCTACTGTACTAAATAATACAAAGATTTCTAAAGGTGAACCTTAGGGCACCTCCATACCCATCTACTCTAATAGATGAAACCCTCTGATTTCATCTGTAACTACTGGTGCTCTGTTCAGCCCTAAGAATGATTTGAATAGACACTTCAGTACTGAAATGCATTAGTTCCTACTTCAATTTGTATTATCAACTAGCAGAATAAATGCACGCAAAAAGGGCTTGGAGATCCTTGGGAGAAGTACTTGTTAAATGTAACTTGAAAGCAGATTTGAAAATTTTCCCCTTTTAAATTTATTTTCCCAGAGTCCTAATAAATGAAAGCTGGGCTGCTGTCTAGGTTTCCAAGCCACTAGAGCCTGATTGTTTTCTATTTGTTTCAGTGTTTGAAGCCAGCAAAAGCTGCATTAAAACTGACGGTGCCAAGTAGTAACAAGCACACTTTAAGCATAGCTAATGTATGAACCCATAGCCCCAGGTTATAATATTTCAAATACAACAGAATGTAGAGGCTAGGCTCTTTGTCATAGCATTTTATAAACAAAGCATTTTTAAATATAGTAGACTTATGAAAACAAAAAACCTCACTAATAAGTAAAAACAGAATGGTAACTGTGTCATATGCTCTCTGTCTTTTTGCATTTCTGTCACATATGTATTTCTTATACCCTTATCTAACATAAATGAATGCTTCAATACAAATGTATTCTCTCTCTCTCTTTTTACTTGGATAACACACTCACATAAAGTTGGTTCTATTGCTTTCTCTCTAACTCTCTAAAATATTTTTCATTATAGTCATTCACATCTCTGCCAGTTACTTTAGGGACAACAAAACAATTATTGCCTGCTCTTTCCACCCCAAAACATGAAAAATATAATTATATTTTCAATGGCTTTTGAATTCACTGTTACATCTATTTCAATATTTTGTTTAAATAAATAAATAAATAAATAATTTCAGTTAATTAAGACTAGGGAATTTCATATTTTATTAACCCTAATTTCATTCAGGATAAAAATTGTTATGTTCTAACTTCATGAGATTCCTTAGGCTTTGAGTCAGGCAAATGTAGTATCTTTAAGAATCTGTCCATTTGTTATGTTAAATATTTTCAATTACCTTTGAACTATTCTCAGGTTAACAATATAAATATTTCAAAGATTATAATTTTAAAGAATAAGGCTGAGAAAACTGATATTATAATTACTGTTTTTAAGAATTTACATCAGCAAATATGTAACCAGCAATAGCCAGGATATGAAATACATCCTTGGGATATTTAACTATAATCTGCTTTACCTTTTTTTTTCACTCACTATATTCAGCTGATAAAACTCCAATGTTAATCTTCAATTAACCTATATTAATTTGTCTAATGATTAACAGAAATAAATCTCGATTGTGTTTCTGCAGTTGTGCCTCCATCTGTTCATATGAGGGAAGGGGTGACAATGAGAATTATTTCAAGTATTTGGAAAGAGTCCTTGACCCAGTTAACAGATAACATAAATTTTCTCATCCGATTTCCTACTGCTTAGTACCCTATAATGTAGAGATTCAAAGCCTTATCATGTTGGAACATGAAAAGCTTGACAAATGCTCAAATGTATTTAATTTTACAGCAGATATTTTAGAAAGTAGTAATTTTTTATTCTATGAATCACAGCAGCACCCAATGTCTTATGTGTTTCTTTTTATTCTGCGTGCCGATAATGCCTCTTACACATTTCTATTTGCAGATCACTAGGAACAATTCTTTAGTTCACACTTAAGTTGGAAACAAATGCTCTATGACGATAGAAATCTCTCACAAAGGCTAAGAACACAGATATACATTTTGCAATGGTTGCTGTACTAATAATAATCTGATACACTCTGTTCATTTTATAGATGAAAAAATTGAGGCTCTAGAATTTTAATTGACAGAGATGGTATTCAAAAGTAAAAATCTTGCTTTGATTTTTCTTTAACGTTAGTGCCTAAACTTTCAAACAAGTATACCTAATGCTAGATGACGAGTTAATGGGTGCAGCACACCAACATGGCACATGTATACATATGTAACAAACCTGCACATTGTGCACATGTACCCTAAAACTTAAAGTATAATAAAATAAAATAAAATAAAAAATCTTATTAAAAGGAAAGCATCTAAGATCAGGATGTGTATTAATGTACAAAATAAATGGAAAAATATAAAAGCCATGTTCAAATAAAATAGGGAAAAATAGCAACCGAAATGCAGGAACCATGACACTGGCCACTGGGAAAGCACTTAGGCAGACAGAATACAGGCTCTTTGGAGTCCCTTTAAAATCAGCAAACTAACACAAGAAGAGAAAACTAAACACATGTTCTCAATCATAAGTGGGAATTGAACAATGAGAATACATGGACACAGAAAGGGGAACATCACCCACTGGGGCCTGTCGGAGGTTGGGAGGCTAGAGGAGGGATAGCATTAGGAGAAATATCTAATGTAGATGACGCGTTGGTGGGTGCAGCAAACCACCATGGCACATGTATACCTATGTAACAAACCTGCACGTTCTGCACATGTACCCCAGAACTTAAAGTATAATAATAATAATAAAAATCCAGAACTCAAAAATTTATCATTGAGGCAGTTTCTCAAGTTATATTTCTTACCTAAATTCATGAGTATGAGACTATCATACTCACCAATATATATGCTTTTTCTTGTTTCCATGAAGGTCTAGATATAAAGGTATTGTTGACCCAAAACCATGAAAAACAGTTAAATTCCATCCTCTAACCTATGATTCCTGTGGGCAAAAGTTCTGTTCAGTTACTAAGTCTGTGGTTACAGTAATTTTTTTCCTTCTATTCGCATCACTGATGGCTTGAAAGCAGCTCCTGTAGAATTTGGTGTTAAGGAGCCAAACTGAGATGACCATTAAATGGGTCAACTGTATTGCATTTTTCTTAGCAGTGGATGTGAAAGAGTACATGTTGAGAGAATCACTTCATCTTCAGTCTATCAAATTCTTTTTAATAATCATCAATTACAGTGAAACTCTGATCATTAAAAACCTGTTATTTCTCTACAATTTTTCTCTCTTCTTGTGTTTGCATTAGATAATAATATGTTTTATCAATGTTCTGTTTTCCATCTTGTTATATTAATATAAAATTAATTCATCCTTTTTTAAATCATATTATAAATTTACTCTTTGCAAACATTTGCTGGATGACTACAAATCAATTCTTTACATTATTTTTAAATAATATTTATTTGAAAATCATCTTTCATTTCTATTAAGTCTTTCTATACATTATAATGAATCCAGGAAGTTACCTGATTTTTAAAAATTGGTTTCTTTTGTGTTTCATTGCCTGGCCTATGCCTGTTCTGTGGTCTTACTAAATTTCTATTCGACAATCTGCTACTTAGATGCAAATTTCTGCTCATCAGTCCCTTCCATCAAATACAGAGATTATTTTCTCTATATAGAATTCACTGGGAACAAAGTGTATTTTACAAGTATTATTAGATCTTTTGCTGTGACTCACTCCCATGCAGATGGTACACATCTGAAGGGGCTCTATTCTAGCTAGCAAAGATCTAGCTGATGCTCTGAAAAATTATTCTCTCTTGGTGAAAAGTTAGCTTGCCACTGCCTTCCCTGCTGCATTATTAAACACGAAGGAGTGATTCCCTTAATCCCAACCATCTGCTCTTCCCCAACTAAAAAGTGAAAACATTCCCTTGTGTTTACAAATGTTGCTGCTAAAGCTTCACAAATTATAAGTGATGGTGGTGAAATTTCCGTATATACTACAAGATCAAAACAAAATCCTAGTCACCATAAATCTGCAAAAAATAAACCAAATTTATATCACACCATAAACCCAACTGTTTTAATGTAATGCAATTATATTTAAACTGCAGCCTCAGAATGTAAATTATTTTAGCATCTCAAGTATAATATTTGCATTTTAAATATACTCCCACTTGTCCAGACTTCCAAAAGTACATACTCTAAGAAAATGGATCATCTTCAATTCTTTTTAATTTTCACAGATTTCTGGAGTGCACAGAATTTTAGCATCAGTGAAGGTTCAGTTTCATTGAAATTAAAGCAAGACAAAATATTTAACTGCTCAGATGAATAACAGGCTTAAAAGGACTAAAACTGGAAAGTAGTGTCAAGGTTCTCACAACAAATTGTTGATTTTCAGGAAAGTCACTTACACTGAAATATTACTAGGCAAGACCAGTGATAGCACTTCTGACCAAACTCTTATTTTCCTCACAAAAGATACTGCAAACCAGAATTATTCTAGCTTAAGCACTACAAAATACCAATCAACCAATTAACCAAAAACAAGAAGACAGGCAAAAAAAAAATGAGTTTCCAAATAAATAAATTTCATATTCATTTTTAAAAATATTGAGTATAGTATAACCTAAAAACCTAAAATTATCCTTTTTTGTTTATAGTGTGAAGATATTTCTATTAACATTATTTTTGTTGAAGATCAATTGCTTTAGCTTTCCTCTAGGTATTTGTCAATAGACTAATTTATATTTCATAGAGTTTATTCATTTTGTTCTTAGCAAATCATTCCTTATCACCTATGTTCCAGACCCTTTTCACCCATTATTTTTCAAAGCCTTTCCTTTAATTCTTGTCCCTAAATGTTTATTTTTCATTCTATAACAGTTCAAAAACATTCATTCTCGCTTAAATGGAATTTGTATAATTAATTTTCTTACTGTCACAGTACCCAGTGAATAAAAAATTATGTTTTCCTTCCAACAGTCTTGCTTTCAAGTCTTCTTTCAAAACACTCTAACATGCCACATGTGTATTTTTCTAGTGCATTTACCTGTCCTAATGATTTTTTTGCTTTCAGTCTAAAAGTTTGAATTATTTAGATAATGAATTCATTGAGGTCAAGTACTATAAAGCGCTTACCTTCTTACAGCTTCCACACTTGTTGCCCCCAAACTTCACTTCTGGGTTGGTATTTATGACAAACTATTCTCTCTACCTTAGCATAGTCTTTGTCATATGTCAAAGGCCACTTCTGTATAAGTTTTACTAGCAAAATATATTTCCCTAGATGATTTTCTATTTTTCTGCTTGGCTCTATTTGTTCTAAAAAGTGTTTTAACCTGGATCTGGTGAACTGTACAGATAAAAACTTCTCTACATGTGAACTATCCATGACCAGCAAGCTGATGGCTTCATTGCATATTTATTACCATGTAAATAAATATACACTCCTTGAACCTGTTTTTAAATGTACATTCCACAAAAGTGTCTCTTAAGATATACTGTATATCTGTTTCTTTTTGCTTATACCTAGTCATAGAAATACCACTATTTCTTTACCTGGTTAACCAATTGGCATTTTCCCTTAAATCTAATAAGTTTATTTTCATTTCTGTATTTTACTTACTCCTCCCATAACATATTTTCAGTAAATTTGTTCTCATTCCTTCTTAATGATCACTGTTCTTTTTATAAATTCCTAAACTAAGGTCCACCAAATTTTATGTAATTTGATCAGGAAATTGCCAATGATTATAATTGTATCTATTTTCTTATAAAAAGTACAATTTCAAAATAATTAAACAAATTTCTTCTTAACAGAAGCAAAGAGAAAACTGTATGTAAATATCAATACTAAAAATATTTATTTGTTCTTGTCTCTGGGTTCCCTATGTGTATGTCCAGGTGTTACCATATTTATACACTGCATTCAGCCAAGTATAAGGCCTGCGTTAGACCAGCCTACAGGATACTAATGAAGCATGGAATCTGGTACCTATGACAGAACAATTCTGAGACAGGGAGTCACGTACCAGAGGGTGATCATGGGCTGGTTAGGGTCAAGTGGTCCTGCAGCTAGTCAGTACTGGAACTGATTTTTACTTGTTGTCTTTTCTATTGGACCACGACTTCTCTCTGGAATGAAAGGAATCAACCCAATGCTATTGTGCCTAAGTAATTGAGGTTTTAGGGTCAGAAACTCAAATATTACCGCAGGAGAACTAAAACCACATGGGAGCTCTCAAACAAGGTTGGAACTCTCACATCTGGGCAGTTAGTCAAGCAAAACAGTGAAGTGGTAAAATGAAATACTCATTACAGGGTGACACCCCCAGCCTCCTCCCCACACACAAACATGTGTCTCTCCTTTAGAGTATTCCCTCACCACTCCCTTTATCAAAATCTTTTCTAAGGACTGGCTCTCATGAACCCATTCATACTAAACTGTATAAATCTGACATAATGCATAGCCTTTGACCTTCCCTGTGGTGCTTATATTTTAATAAGAATAGCCATTTGGGAAACACAAGACCTAAAAGAATAAACTTTTACCAGTGAAATATTTAATGCATCTTCCAGCAGTGGATGAAATGGACAGGCATTCTCCAGACTCAAAATCCCACCTTGCTGGCAGTTGCCTCCCACTTGTTGCCTTGCTTCTACTGTCTAATCTAATTGGTTCTCCAGGCAGGTGCACTATTTGCACCTACCAGAGTGTCTGCCCTGATGCTGACATTTGCCTTTTCTTACTGGCCTCAAAATGTAGCCAAAATAATCCCCCTAGCATACTGTTGCTACTGGAAACATAAGATTAAGCTCTCTGATTTACTGAGTAGGGCTGCATAAAAAAATCAGTACACAGCAGAGCTAAAGATGATACAGAGGTACTTAGATGAAAACAGACAATTTTGCAGCAGATTGCTTAACGTATTGGCAGTTCTCAAATCACATCTCAAATCAGATGAAATAAGTTTCAGAAAGTTATTTAGCATGAAGAATACATTATTAAATTCAACGTATAAAATGTTAATGCAGATCTGCTGGCTCTTATTGCTGCTTGCTTGCATTCCTCCCTTTTGCAACACTGTATCATAAACTTAACTGTCAATGTGGGGTGAGTATTTTCCCTCCAATCAACTAGCAGAAATGCATTTTAGACATCATCTCTACATCCTTAACCACACAAGCCACCGTACATCTCTACTAAAATTAAAACATCAGAATTTTAGAATAAAATCTGTCTATGCACCATCAACAGTGGTCATATTTTTAAACAATGCTTGTATCTTGTTGTTACCTGGATATATGCTTTTAAATAATATTTGCTGGCAATTATGACAGGTGATAGATGCATCATTTTCTGTGACAAATTATTTCTGAAATGAGTCAGGATTGGGTTTTACAAATTACCCCTTCTTAAGATTTTGCCAGCCATGCACGATGGCTAATGCCTGTAATCCCAGCATTTTGGAAAGCTTGAAGCAGGTGGTTACTTGAGCCCAGGAATTGGAAACCAGCTTGGGCAACATGGCAAAACCCTGTTTTTACAAAAAATACAAAAACAAAACAAAAACCACCAAAAACCTAGTTGAGGATGGTGACGCGTGTCTGTAGTTCCAGCTACTCAGTATGCTGAGGTGGGAGGATAGCTTGAGTACTGGGGGTTGAGGCTGCAGTGAGCCAAGATCATACCACTGCACTCCAGCCTGGGTGACAGAGCAAAATCCTGTCTCAAAAAAAAATGTCATTGAACTGAAATCCACTCGTATAATTTTATGGACACAATGTTTCTTGTTGCCATTATGGAAGAGGCACTTCAGAATTTTCAAATAAGTTCATGAAACTTATGAACTTATTCATGAAACATGAAAAGGGACAGTCATTTGGTACATGGTTAAAGCAAAGACAAGACAATTTCTATGTACACCCAAGGATCATAGGGGTTGACTATTTAGTGTGACTCGCTAGGAATTCTACTATTGGCATCTTACTTTAATATATATTCAGTGGCAATCCATGTCAAGACAATTTTCCCACTGAGAGATCTGAATTCTTTGCCTAAGACATTTCATTTTGAATAAGGATAAGGTGCTACCTATCTGGATTCTTTAATTCATAGAAAAACACATGACTTGTGAATATACCCTACTATTACTGGAACAAATAAGATTTTTCTTGTTTGCTCAATTTTTTATGATCGATAAATAATGCGTGACTTGGGTCACTGTATTTTTTATATCTTGGGCTTCGTTTATGTCTAACTTCCTATCTTTTCTCAGACATAATGGCCTAGCAACTTCTACTGACCCATTCAGTTCCTGCCAGGCTATCTCATCTACAAATATTTTCAGTCCTTACAGATTCCTGATGAAGTAGGTAAATTATACCCATTTTGCAAATTAGAAAGCTAAATCTCAGGAAGACTGGTAGAAATAAGAATAAAACTTCAAATGTATGACACCAAAATAACTTTATCAAAATGAATCCCATCTACTATTTCTTCTTTGTTTGGCCTTCCATGTACTGGAATCTCCATGTGGCAAGCATGCTACCCCTCATTGGGCCATTCTCATGATTGTCTGTAGGCTGAAAGTTAAGTCCTTACCAAGTGGAAAAACATTAGGCCTACTCACTAGAATGTGGGGACTATTTCAGGGGATTCAGTTGCTGGAGTGTCATGGATACTTTTCTCTTTTGTAATAAAGTTATTCAGAGATGATACTTGACATTGGATTTTCAAGATGCTACTTATTGAAGTTGTGTGGTCAAATTGAGCCATATAGCTGTTTTCATTAAAAGGAATGGTAAAAACCACAGTTACTTTTGCACCAACCTAACAGATTTATTAATATACGTGACTTTAAAATAGCCACATCTGTTTGTATTTTAACTGATATTTGGGCTCCCAAGATAAATTGTAATTCTACTGCAAAATGGAAATATTTGTAACTGTATTTATTTTACAAATCATCTTTTCTAATGAAATCTAAATGGGAAATAGCAACTGTATTATGAAATATTGCACTTGTAATTATCATTTTATTTTTCCTTGTTTCATCCACATTTTCATTACCAGAAATAGGTACGTTAGAGTTTGCAAAGAAAATCTGTGTGCTTTATTCTATTGTTTTTCTGTTTTTGTTTTTGTTTTGTTTTAAGGAGGCTTTTGCTATGAATTGCTTAGAATTTGATTTATCCTGGATAAATGGAAAGTAATTCACCCTAAGAAGACTGTGAAACTGTTTTGTCTCAGCAGGCTCCATTGTGAAAGCCCAGCATGAGCTAGGGGGATGCAAGACAGGCCGTGCTGTAGCAGACTGTTGTGGTACATTTTAAATGTTCATGAATGACTATCAGTGGATGATAGGTAAAAAACCGGACAAATGGGAACAGCATGAACATCAACCACACTTTAATGAGTGATGGCTCCCCTTTAAACAAAATCACACACTGAATTGTAGAACAAAATCCCTAGAAGTACAGCTGAGATTAATTTTATTTTAGATAGGAGTCACTAAGCAGTATCATATCCATTAAAAAAATGATAACATTTATGTTTACATGGTTAAAGTTTACTAAGAGCTGTCACACCTGTATTATCTTATTTGATCTTTACAACAGCCCTGTGAAATAAATGAGGCATTTATTTTCCCCTGTATTATAAGATCATAGGGCTCAGCTGGCTAAAACAACTTACGTAACATGGTGACATTTAAAAAGGGACCAAGCCTATTTCTCCAAACTCTAAATCTCTATTATTTTGTCTCTGGTGACATCTTTGAAATTAACAGCTTTTAGAACACAGATCTCCTACACAGCAAATTTTGATAAATGTTTAAAATTGTTACAGTAGATCCCCCTTATCCTCAGAAGGTATGTTTCAAGATCGTCAGTGGATGCCTAAAAGTGCAGATAGTACCCAATCCAATATATACTATGTTTTTTTATACAAACATTCCTATGATAAAGAATTCGAGATGAAACAGCAAAACCAGCAACAATTTCCTTTCACTTCTTCACAATTTCATGAATAGAAGAGCCATTCTTACCATAGATCTTATAAACCTCATCATACAAGATATATATATACATATATATGTATATATTTTCTTTTCAAGTACCAACTTCCACCGTTTCACTAAAAATGAAGCACTTTATGGCTTCTGTTTGGCATATCTGAATTGCCAGCATCAATAATTTTGCACTTTGGATCCACTGTGGATCCAAATTACAGTAAGGGTTACTTGAACACGAACACTGTAATACTGCCACAGTTGATCTGATAACAAGACAGCTACTGAGTGACTTATGGCCAGGTGGTTTCAACAGAGTGGATATGCTGGACCAAGGGATGATTCAGGATCCGAGAGGCATGGAGCAGACTGCATGAGATTCCATTACGCTGCTCAGAATGGCATGCAATTTAAGAGGTATGAATTGTTGATTTCTAGAAGTTTCCATTTAATATTTTTCAACCGCAGTTGAAGGCAGTTAACTGAAACCATGGAAAGTGAAACCGCGGCTAAAGGGTGACCACTGTACTTCCGATTTCACAAATCTCTCTTCAGGTTTATTCTCTGATGAAGATTAAATTTAACTGATAAAATCTTTATCAGTTCCCACAAGAAGTTAGCTTAGAAGTAGCACAAGCTTTAAATTTCAGGAATGATGGAATTAAATGACAGGTTCTTGAGGTAATTATATAAGAACTGTCTTGAGTTGTAACTTTCAGATGCTACAAGCAGAGCCAATCTGTCTCAGAATCCATGAAAAATTAAAAATATTGTGCTTCCCTTACAAAGACAATGCACGTTCCAATATCATCCTATTTTTCTTTTCTTTTTCAAGTCAATTTTGGCCATGTGAACTTCTGGGACAAAAAAGGGGAAGTACATTTTCACACTACTAACATTAGAAACAGTAAGGTGGTGTAGCAACTTAAATGTCACATCTTTAGGAAACTTGGGAAATTTAATTATCCCCTTTTGACGGCAAGCACCATAACATATATTTATAAACAAATAAAACCAAGTAGTTAAGTCTTCGAATTTCTTTGCATTACTGTAGATAAACGGGTAGCATAATATTATTTGCATATTATTTGTGTTTAAATTTGAACTTTATATCTTAGTATAAAAATGAACCCAACCAGAAGTGATTAAGGTAGAGGGATTAATTTCCTCTAGACTGAAATATACAGAATGCTCCCAGTGGAATATTATCAGTATTCTACAGACTGCTTTCCTGACACCTGCATTTTTCTTGGTTTTTATTTAAAATGTGAGGCTCTTAAAGATCATTAAATATTACAACTGAAGTATACACATATTATATGTTTATATGTATATGTAAAAGCTAGATGACCATAAAGCTAAATTTACACTAACCAAAAATAGTTTCTCAATTCTACTAATTACAAATAAAATTTTTGCATAATTTTAACAATATGACAAATTGCATTATAAATAAAGGGTAGAAAGTAATTTTTTGAATCTATGGATGTCCTCATGAACAGGCTAAGTAATCTAAATAAATGCATATATTTAAAAGTACAAGTGGTAGTCATTATATTGGGAAATTTTCTATAGTTGGAATTTTCAAATTTATATTTCAAAATTGCAATATTTCATAATCTTGATTCTGATAAGCATTCTGCTTATTTTTGAATGGTTCTCTTTAAAAAAATGTAATTTCATGCTAATATTTCTTGCTGAAACACATTGATTTCAAGTAATTTTTAATATATGGAAATTATTAGAACAGATACTATTCATAAATCTATTACCCTTTTTAAAAGGTTTGGTTGTTGCTTTACAGATTATTTAAAAGTTTATTTTTTGTCCCATTTGCTCCCACATTTAATGATAATGTATTTAAAAATAAACATCTTCTATAATCCTATTGAACTTTTAAAAGTTTAGTTTCAACCATCTAGAATGATTCTAAAATGAAACCATTTGCTCAATTTCCACTATGTTTCCAAAGCTTTTCATGTTGACTTTATTGTTTTTAGAATGACAATGATTAGAGATAAGCAAAAGATATAACTTTCACCCTCCTGTGACCACTTACTATTGCTTTAGTAGGACAGTCGTTTCCAGAAAAAAAGTCCTCAACTTGAGATCTCCAATTCTAAACAACAGTGTGAATATGGTGAAGTTCGCCTTTGGCAACCTAGGAAAATATCCAACCCTGGTTCTCAAAAATTATTTATACAAACTGGCTGACTAAATGAGTGAATGAAGCCATCATCAATTCAACAGAGACCCAAATTTACAAAGCCATACACATCTCAGGCTTTTCGAGTTCTTATAATAGCTGCTTCTGTGGTACTAAAGACATGTAGGACTCAAAGACTGCCAGTTGTCATGAAGTTCAGGAATCTATTTGAACTTTATTCCTAACGTATAGTAAATAATAATTAAAAATCCCCACCAACATATATTCAGCACTTCCTATACACCAGGCACTGTACTAAACACATAAGTAATTTATCTCTTTCAGTCCTAAACACCTTTTTTCTTTTTTGGGGTAGGTATTATTACCACCCTTATTTTACAAATTTGGAAACTAATGCTCAGAGAAGGTAAGTAAATGACTTGCCAACCGTCACCAACAAGGATGTGGTGAAGCAGAGATTCTACTCACCCATTTCATTCACTCTATTAGATTCCTAGCATTTGTACAATACTTTCCAAGATAAATAGCTGACAACTCTATTTTTAGTACTTTCTGTTGTCTAATTATGTCTGCCAAGAGTTCAAATGTTATGCCCAGTTCCCAATGTGATGGTATTTGGACATGGGGCCTTTGGGAGTTAATTCTGTGTAGCTGAGATTATGAAGATGGGGTCCTCATGATGGGATTAGTGCCCTCATGAGAAAAGAAACCACAGAGTTTGCTCTCTCTCCATCTTCCATGTAAGAACACTGCCAGAAGGCAGTTGTTTATAAGCCAGGAAGAGAGCCCTCAACAAAACTTGAGAATATCTGTTGTTGAAGGCATCAACATTTATTTAGTTATGGCAGCCTGCGCTAACTAAGACAGTACTCATATACTACTTCTGCAATAAACCATCTCTAAAAATCTCGTTTAACAAGCAGATCAATGAATCAGTTATCATCTGCTAGAACAATTTTTGGATTCCATTGATTGATTCACCTAATTATGCTTTCTGGCTTATTGTTACTTTTCATGCTTCCTTATATTTTATTGGGATTTATTTTCTCTCAAAATTTTAGAGTGACTCTATTATTAGAACTTCAAATTAAGGGCCAGGCGTGGTGGCTCAGGACAGTAATCCCAGCATTTTGGGAGGCTGAGGCAGGCGGATCATGAGATCAAGAGATCGAGACCATCCTGGCCAACATGGTGAAACCCCATCTCTACTAAAAATACAAAAATTAGCTGGACTTGGTGGCGCGTGCCTGTAGTACCAGCTATTGGGTGACTGAGGCAGGAGAATTGCTTGAACTCAGGAGGTGGAGGTTGCAGTGAGCAGAGTTCACACCACTGCACTCCACCCTGGTGATAGAGCAAGACTTCATTAAAAAACAAAACAAAACAAAACAAAACAAAACAAAAAACACTTCAAATAAAATAGCATGGTTTAAAATTCATCATAACCACATTATATATTTAAAACCTTCAGTTCACCTTTTTTTTTTTTGAAGTATAAATACTCGAAGCTCACTAAGAACTTAAGATGTCTGATAATGTCTTTATTTGGCTTCACTTTTGTCCAGATATTGCCCATGTAATTACCACACTGCTGGAAGGCAAAGAAATGATAGCCCAGTTTTCCATGTATGAGCAAGTTTATTCAGCTTCAGGGATTATTGGGCAAGCTCTCAAGTGTTACAGGGTTCAATTTAAATGCCCTCTTAAATTAAAGGTAGTTTAACAAAAACTTGCTTGTAATTGTGCTGCAAATACAGAAAAGAAAAAAATATACTTTTAAAATGACTCGATAGCTTGAAGCATGATTTCTTCCTCATAGATCATTTTATTCTCTTGCTTCATATGTTCTTTTTCACCCTCAAAGTCCTTTTTTTTTTTTTCTTGAAACAACCTTGACTTTTTCAGGAAGAATTTTTTCTAATTCTTACGTGTTTCTGTTTAACATATATAACAAGAGAGAATGACTGTTTTTATTCCCGTAGGTCTCAATGTCTAGACATTAGCTTCTTCCTCAAAATAGATATCATAAATATTTATGCATAGACCTAGTGTAGTATATAATATTTCTGTTGTTTGTTGATTGGCTTAATGAATGAAAGAGCACATTGAAAAGTTTTAAAAGAACATTCAAATGTGGACAAATGTACGTGCAATGTAAATTCAAGTGATTAAAGTCATTTTAAAAATTAGGCATGTTTCTAAACATAGTGTGCAGAGTAATCATTAAAAATAATCTATGGGAACATTTCATGTAATGATAATTTATGCTCAATAGTCTCAACAAGTAAAAACAAAAAACCAAACGTCATACTAGACTTCAAATATACTTCTCCATTTTAAATGTGTGTATATAGAAATCAAGATCTTTGTGTACTGGAATGAATCTACATATAATAGTAAAAATAACAGCTAACATATTCTAAGCATTTAGCATTTAACAAATTCTGTTCTAAACTGTTTTACATGTATTAACTTAATTATCACAAGTGAAATATACAAATGAAAGATTATTATAATATAAAATTTGACAGTATTTTGCAAGGTTTTTGTAATAGGATTCATTCTGCATTGTAGTTTTAACAAAATTATGAATTTGTTAATGAAATAATATCAGGAAATTCACTTGACAAATTCCCATTTATCAGAAGACTTTTATTTGATACCAGGAAAGATAGAAAAAATAGGTCATTATTTAGGTCAATTATACCAGGACCCTCCCTGGAATAAATCATATCTATATTTGAAAAAGGAAATTTGATTAGTAATTTATGCAATGCTAATTAGTTTTTGGCCACAAGCCACCTTTACCACCCGCATCACCCTTTCATTCCAATACCGTTGGGTTAGTTCTAATCTTATTCTGAAAGTTGTTTAACCTAAAATGTCTTTAGGGGATAATTTTCTAACCACCTTTTAAACTACCACCCACAGTTTCTCACAAACTAAGATGCATCGGAAAGGTTATTTCTTCTTCTTATTTTTTTTTCTTAAATGGAACAAAAGAAATATTAAACATGAATGATGTTAGACAATTTGATACATTCTGTTGAAGATACTGTCCTCCTGCATATGCAATGGGATAAACTGCTACTAAATTCTAGGTTGATAGCATTGTAGTAAATAACTGAAATGATTAAATGGGTCAATAAATAACTTACATTTCGAAGTTTCCTGGTTTTAAATGATTTGAATGATCTTAATTTGAAATAATTGGTGTAAACTGAGATTATGTAAATGATTTCTTGCCATCCTCAAAACGTAGATGTCAAAGCCATTGACAATGATTTAGCTGAGTAAAAACAATGGAATTATTTGCATTTCTAAGGCATGTATAGAACAAGAAATCTGTGTCATGACTTCTTCCCATATGTGTATGTAAACATATACATTTTCTGCAGGATGTACATATACACATTAATGTGTACACACATGCACACAGATGCACATACACACAAACATATAAATACATATGTATACATATAAATGCAATATACATATTTATATGAATCTATATATCTATGTAAATTAGATATCTATATAAATCTATATGAATTAGAGACCTGTATTGAGCCCATATTTTTTCTACACAAGGCCATTCATCATTTTAAATGTTTCATTAGGTCACTGGCACTTACTTTTTATATTATTAATATTACCTTAATAATTTTAGTAACATTTAAGAACTGAATTTTACCATTATATTCTGAAAATCAAAAGTAAGTGTAATTACTCAGAATAAATCAACAGCTATTTCATTGCATGTTAACAAACTTGACTCTATCATTAAGCAATGGGGAGCCATGAAAGGAACTGACTAAATCTGCATTTTAGACAAGTCAGCATAGCAGCCTTGTGCATGTTGAAATTGCTGGTCACAAAGACCCATTAGGATGCTGTTGCATGCACACATCTGAGAAATGGTTAGGTCGTAAACTAGGCAGTGATTGTGAGACCAAATGGGTCTGGGGAAACTAAGGATGAGGAATAAAGAAAGAGTCCTAGAGTAAATGGATACCTGGGATTCAATCACCTGCAATAAAATTCAAGGAAAAATAACAAAATGAGGAAGAATGAAGGAAGGTAGGATGGTATATTTTTGGAGGATTGAGTTTTAAAAATTATAAATTAAGTTCATGACTCAAATTTATTTGCTCAAATCTACTTATACAAATATCTTGCTAATTAGTTTCCTTAGATATTACCACTGGATCCAGAGGTACCTAGAAAATCTTTTATTTATTTATTTACTCATTTATTTTTAAGGAGAAGATAAAACACAATTTGAAATTAGCTTCAAACTTTTAGCAGCTATAAGACGTCAACAACCCAGTTTGTGCTTTAATACTTGCAACACCGTGGCTGCTAATTTGAAACATTTCACACTTTGTTAAATTTTAAGAGTTCTCCACCTTTTCAATTTAAAATACAAATAAATATAATGGGAGTGTGTGAATGACTCGACTTTATAATCACAGATGGGAGGGTATAAAGTTGATATCAATAGCAACAGAAATTAGAAACTAATCACCACTAATGTTAAATAAAGATGACATAGAACAGAATATCTAATCTGATTTAATTGAAATTTAAATTCATAGATGCAAAAGAATAAGAATACAATCATCTTTTCCTGCTTTATCAGTGCACACAAGTACTATCAGGTTGTATAATCACATTCCTTTGCAAAGTATCATGATGCTGTTTCATGAAGAATAGCTAGAGAAAGTGATGCTGACGAATAAATTATGGTTTCAAGTGCTTGACCTGCATAAAAGTTTACCCTCCAGAAGGGCTGTTAAACAAAAGAACTCTAAAGTCTTGATCTATTTATTTTTTTAAGTATGGCCTTTGCCCTGTTTTTAACCTCATTTAACTCTCATTATAAAACATCTCTCTCATATCAGTATAAAAACCTATGTTAGAGAAAATCCAGCGCCTACTCTCAAAATGATATTGCAAACAATGTATTTGTTGCTTTCTTCAGAGTTGAGGATGAGTGGTGTGTCTTCTGATTTTCATTTTAGAACACACTCTTCAGTAATTTTAGCTTTGTTTTGAAACTACTACATAATCATTAGTGCATCTGACAATGCAGACTTCCTACCTGTCATCACATGACACCTATTAAAAGGAAAATGACCGGAAGGTGGAGGTTGCAGTGAGCCGAGATCGCGCCACTGCTCTCCACTCTCCAGCCTGGGTGAAAGAGTGAAACTCTGCCTCAAAAAATAAAAATAAATAAAAATAAATAAACAACATAAAATAAGAAAGAAAGGGGGGGAAGAAAGGAAGGAAGGAAGGAAGGAAGGAAGGAAGGAAGGAAGGAAGGAAAGAGATTAATAGGTAAGATTATAAAAATCTTATAATGTTAGAGGATAATTTTTTAGTGAAACAAGACTGATTTTGGGACAGTGAGCAGAATATGTGCTTTCTAAACAGAATATACATTGTTTTCTTATACTTGTTCTCCATTTGTCTGATGTTACACAGAAAGGTTTATAAAATAATAGTTATAGGGCAATTTAAAAACTTTACTTGTTAAAAAATAAAACAACAATAAAAATAGAGTTCACAGATTACAATGCTAAATTTAAGGCATTTAAAATGTTTTTAATTTTAAAAATAAAACATGAAATATAGGTAAGATGGTGTTTGGAAAAAAACAAAATATTAAAATACATGTTTTTAATAATAGAAAATAAGAAAAAAATGTCCTTTGTCTTGGCCTGTTTTGTGTTCTATAACAAAATATCACAGACTGGGCGATTTTTGAATGAAATAAACTTATGTCTTAAAGTTCAGGAGACCAAGGTTGAGGGGGCTGCATCTGCTGAAGGCCTTCTTGCTGCATGGCAGAAGGAGGAAGGGCAAGAGAGCACGTGCGAGAGAGCAACGGGGCAGGAGAGGGCCTAACTTGCTTTTATAATAAGCCTACTCTCTCTAGAACTAACTCACTCTCATGATAACAGCATTCATTCATTCATGAGGGTAGAGCCCTTCTAACCCAATCTCCTCCTATAGGCCCCATTTTCAACCCCGTTATATTGGGGATTAAGCTTCCAACACATGAACTCCGGGGGACACGTTCAAATCATAGCATCCTTAAATGCAACTGAAAGAAGCTTCAAGTTGAAAGTAATTTATGAATGGTGAATGCACAATGTAAACTGGAAAACCCTTTGTAAGAAAAAAAATAGAGAATCAACGGATAAAGACTCAGATGGGGTACATAGATTTCATTGTCTATATAGAAGGTTTGCCAGTTCATTAGTAGTGACAAATATTTTTCCGGACTTGACATCCAGGAGAATTTTGTCACAATGGTCATTTTAGTCAGCCAACAATAAGATCTTGTCCCCATTTGTGTTCTATTTGTTGCTGTCTCTTCTTGGTGGCTCTGGGTAAACAATAGAAGACTATTATAGAATACAATAGGGGATATTATTCACATGAATAGAGAATAAAAGGGAGGGTGGTATAGTCTAGGTTAATAGTTATCGGAGAGCTGTAGTAATAGTTTTAAGAGTAGATGACTCCTTCAAACCAGATTTTCTCAAACTTTTGGTTAGGGGAGAAATGTATAATTTTGGTCAAAAATTTGAGATTTGAAATACGACTGCTGGCCCTGCAATTTGAAAAATTATAACATTAACTCCAAATGAATAAATAAAAAGAGTCAGAATGCACTATCGCTATGATTTTATAAAAGGAAACAACACTTCCAAGAGAGAAAATCTAGTTACTTTATACTAATATTTGTGTATGAGTATGTTTGTGCCTCCATATGTGTGTGTAAACATTGTCATGGAATCTCAACATTTTTAAGGTGACTTTGGGAAGCACTGCTTTAAACTCATTTTTTTTAAATTGTCAGATTCAGGATTTTGTCATAAAATGCACAGCAGGAATACAAATTTGATGTATCCAGCAATCGTCGGATGTTCTTTGTTCTCAAATGAGATCACTTTGTGTGATTTGAATTTGAATGCTTTCTCAGCTTTGAGGACCATATGTCCGCAGTTCTAAGGTACTGCCACTAGATGGCAGCCTTGCCTACCTCTTTCAGGCAAGGCAACTGCTTCTAAAGCAGAGATGATTTTCTCTAAGAAAATAACTTTTTATTGAAGACATAAATTTAATGTTTACATAACTAATTTTTATAATAAATAAATTATGTTAAAACAAAGTTGACAATCTGGTAGTTATACTAAGAGGTGTCACATGATTCACTATATAGAAATGCAAAATCATTTATGGAGTGAACTTTTGGCTAGACAGTTTCCATGGATTGTGCTAAAATTCACAAAACCCTCTAGGAAAAATACTATTATTACCTCTGTTATGAATGAGGGCACTGAGGTTCAAAAAGGTTAGAGAAGTCTTGAGCGCTTAGTATTTTCACTTCTGTCTACACGTAGGTGTCATCTTCAGTACATACTCATTCTATGCTGAATAATTTGCAGTTTCCTGAAAATTCTTATTTTTACATATTTTTGCATGCTCTTTTAAAATCTATCTGTAATATATTCCTATACACAGTTCCCCTTCCTTTTTCCCACCCAACAGTTTGACATCATACTATCATGCAAGTGTCATCTCAAAACATACTTTTTGTGAAAGAACCTAGTCTTCACATATAATCATTAAGCCATGTTCTATAATCCTATCTTCTTTATTTTACATAAAAATTTAGCATACTGTTAGATAACAAGCTACTATTTCAATCATTTATTTTATTTTATTTTATTTTTTATGTTTTGTTTTTGAGACGGAGTCTCGCTCTGTCGCCCAGGCTGGAGTGCAGTGGTGCCATCTCGGCTCACTGCAAGCTTCGCCTCCAGGGTTCACGCCATTCTCCTGCCTCAGCTTCCCGTGTAGCTGGGAGTACAGATGCCCGCCACCACGCAAGGCTAATCTTTTGTATTTTTAGTAGAGATGGGGTTTCACCATGTTAGCTAGGATGGTCTGGATCTCCTGACCTTGTGATCCACCCACCTTGGCCTACCAAAGTGCTGGGATTACAGGCGTGAGCCACTGCGCCCAGCCCAATCATTTTAAAGAGTATATTTTTGGTAAGTTCATGCATTTTCATTGAAGATTCTAATTGAAAATAGAGTAAGCAAAAAAGGAACTTACGGATACACATAAATGAAAATTATAAGAGTAGTCTCATTGATATGGTAGCTAATTCAGACTCATCTCTCTCTACTAGTCACCATCTTAATTTCTTTCTCAGGCTTGCACTGATGGGGAAGGAGGGGCCACTAACTATTACATGCCTAAATATTTTTAAAGAGGGCAATTTTAAAAAGAAAAAGGTGACTCACTCTCCTATAGTCTATCTACTCTCAATAAGGGTAATCAGCTTGAGTAATGGGTCTTTTTGGAGAAAGGGATGGGGTTCTGGGATTAGCTAGGTCACAACCAGGTGCCTCCTGCTGTGACCAGAGAGTTTGCTAAAGTGCTCTACTGACAATTTTATGAGAACCCCCTAGACTGAGGTAGAGGAGAAATTTCTCAACGCACTGATAGAGTCCTCTAATTTGAAAAATAAGAGATATGTACTCTAGATGTATAGCTAAAGAAACATATCATGCAGTAGAGGATTTTACACTGGGTATATATTTTCTATTGTACATTTTACAGAGTTGGAATTTTTGTTTTACTTCGGTTCATTTGAACATTTCTATACTTCTAAAAGAGATGAAACAACTAAGTCTTTGAAGGTTAGTAATACCAGGGAAAGCTGAACAGATTGAGGGACCTTACATGATTCAGCCAGGGAACACTTTTTGCCCTAGAGACATAACAGGAAGACATTCTTGGGCCTATGTATCATTTTACAGAATTGGAACACTGTAGTGGACTGACAGTAAGTGGACCGAAAATGAAGAGAACACACCAAGTTGCTACAGGCAAAGCATACTTGCAAACTAAAATCCTCATTAGCAGCACAAAGCTGGAAGCCAATTTTTTGCTACCTTAGCAGAACCCCAGCCAAGGATGCACTAATTAGACATAGAGATAACCTATGTTGCTAAAGCAAATCCATCCTTTGTTTATGATTAGCCATGGAGTGAGAGCAGTGAGCTTCAAGATCCAAATTCCAGTCATCACTGGTAAGAAGCACAGGAAATGTCTAGGCCTAAAAACTTGCCCAGACTGAGGACTAGAAATATGGTGTTTGCTTAAATGTTAACCCTTCAACCTAACAAAGTCTGATCCCACATAGCTAAGGGTACTAGGTAAAGTGATGAGGAGGAAGGAGGCATAGAGAGACAGATGAAATGTCTCATGGATACATTGGACATAATCTGAAATAACCAGTCAGTATCGTGGACAGCTGGGTAAGCAGAAGCTGAAATTTCAAACATGCTTCACATGTTGCATATGTAGATTACTACAATAGACTCTCAATCCGTATTGGTGATGTGGTGAGGATGGTGAGGATTGGTCTCTGTGGGCAGACATGTCATAAGGACTAGTTAATTAAAGTGATTAGACATTAGTAGTCACAGAGATTTTGAAAATAGTAAAGCAGGGAATAAGATCACGTAAACTTGTAAGCTTTCAACAAGCCACTGTGAATGTCACAATTTGATCATAGATACCTGAGAGATGGACATTGCACAAACACTTCACTTTATGGACAATAATTTGTACAAGAAAAGTTATCATCCTGAGATTACATATTCATGCAAGATCATAACCAGGATTAGAATTCCAAGAGGTTTTAATTCAGTGCCTTTTACAATGTTACACTGATAGTAGTTAATAGAAATATAGCCATTAGAAGCACACACTTTTATATATAGGCTGGGAGCGGTGGCTCACACCTATAATGCCCCTATAATGCCAGCACTTTGGGAGGTCAAGGCGGTGGGTCACCTGAGATCAGAAGTTTGAGACCAGCCTGGCCAGCATGGTGAAACCCGTCTCCTCTAAAAATACAAAACTTAGCTGAGCCTGGTGGCATGCACCAGTAATCCTAACTTCTTGGGAGGCTGAGGCATGAGAATCACTTGAACCCGGGAAGCAGAGATTGTAGTGAGCCAAGATCACACCACTGCACTCCAGCCTGGGCAACAGGCGAGACCTTGCCTCAGTAAATAAATAAATAAATAAATAAATAAATAAATAAATAAATAAATAAATAAAATAAGCACGTTTTTATATATTACATTGAGATTGTCATGTAGATGTTGAAATAAGCTATTTTTGTCGAAATACCCTAACTTTCCCATTTATAACAATAAGATATTTTCTGTTAAAATAGTTCATTAACTAAAATGGACTGCATCTTATGTATACACGATTAGGATAATATGTACAGTGTAATGTTAATTTTAGGTGTTAACTTGTCTGGATTAAGAAATACCTAGAAAGCTAGTAAAGTATTACTTTGGGGTGTGTCTGTGAGTATGTTTCCAGAGGAGATAAAGGTAAGTCTGAGTGGACTACCTGGTGGGAAGATCTATCTTCAGTGTGGTAGGGCACCATCCAATCTGCTGGTGGCTCAGAGAGAACAAAAAGAAAAAGTGAATATGTTAATCTATCTACTGAAGCTGGACTCTTTCTCTCCTGTCCTTGGACAACTTCAGTCCTGCTGGCCTTTGGACTCCAGGACTTAAAGACTAGTGACACCACTGATTCTCAGGCTTTTGGCCTCAGACCAAGAGTTATACCATTGGCTTTTCTTGTTCTGAGGCCTTTGGACTTGAACCAAGACAAATAACAAGCATCCCACGGTCTCCAGCTTGCAGAAGACTCGTCATGAGATTTCTCAGCTTCCATAATCATGCACGCCAATTTCCCTAATAAGTTACCTCTTCCCCGTCTCCCCTCTCTCTGTCTCTCTCTGTCTCTACTCATCTTATTGCTTCTTTCTGGAGAACCCTATAGGTACATGCATTTACATATAAGTATGTTTGTTTCTTAAGTATACAAACTTTTATGCCTCATATATTTTTACATAAAGCTTTGTAACATGAAAATTCACATGAAGTTTATTTATTTTTTATTTACTTTTTACACAGAGTCTTACTCTGTCGCCCAGACTGGAAAGCAGTGGCACAATTGCAACCTCCGCCTCCTGGGTTCAAGTGGTTCTCCTGTCTCAGCCTTCCCAGTAGCTGAGATTCCAGGCATCCGCCACCATGCCCGGCTAATTTTTATATTTTTAGTAGAGACAGGGTTTCGCCATGTTGGTCAGGCTGGTCTCAACTTCCTGACCTCATGTGATCCACCGGCCTCGGCCTCCTAAACTGCTAGGATTACAGGCATGAGTCACCATGCCTGGTCCACATGAAGTTTTGAAATAGAGCTCTAGTAACCTGGCTTGTTAGTAATTGTGTAACTAGCCCAGACTGAAGTTGGTCATATTTTTAACATAGGCAATGTCAAAGCACATTGTATACCATGACTAAACTTCTGCATCTTGGGATCATTTCATTCATGACTATAAGTCATGTAGGGCTGATGTATGTATGTTCAATACCACCTCAAAAGCAGACCTTACAAAATAGTCATTGACTTGCCCATCAATGTCAGAAAATAACTTAACAGGTGCTATAATCTACTAACAACTAGATATAAAAGTTACAATCCAAATATCTTTGGGAGAAACAACATAGCAATTTGAATTCCCAACAAAGCATGAGAAAAATAAGTTTAGCTTAGAGAGTAAGAATTCAATGTGCTATATGGGACATATACAAATATACAAATAATGTTCATTAATAATACAGAAGATTTAACTATTTTAAGTGACCAAGTTGTTATTTATTTTAAACTTCTTTTTTTATCCAATAATTAAATACACACATGTGCACATGCGTGTGCACACAGACACACAGCTGACATTTTCATAAATGAGTGGCCTGCAAAATTTCAGCAGAAAAAAAAAACATCTGGACAATTATAATTGCAAGGTTTCCTAAGCATAAGATTCTAAGGTCATAATTCTATTGCACTAAGTTTTATAAATCAACTGGAAAAAAAGCCATTTTGAGGAAAGGACTCATATGAGAATATCTGACATAAATTATTAACACCTTGAAAGTACATTCATATGGATAATTTATTAATGTTCTTATTTTGCATATTTCTAGATAAAATTATAAGAATTTCATGCCAAATGAATATCTTTGTATGAAATCATCACTTCAGGATGATAGAAACAGAAGTAACAGGAATAACAGCTTCAGGGAGCAACAGACTGGATGCAGTAGAGGAGAACTCTAGAAAATAGACCCGCCCATCAGCGGCTTCACTTATGAGCCCACACTTCACCATCAGTTTTGCATATTTAGCAAGCATAATAATCATGCTTCTAACATTTTGTTATTCTTATAATAAAATGAAAAAAAATCAGGTAGTTCCTCAAAAATCTCATTTCCCTTTTCTGAGCAGCGGTTCTTACTTTTCAATAGCACTCCACACCTGATTAGACTCACACACAATCTTTGTATATTTTCACTGGAAATGGTGTAGAAGATAAATTACCAAGTAATCATTTACTCTCCCAAAACAAGTTTTATTGATTTTCAGATTTGTGGCAATAGATTCTATCTGTAATAGAAGAATCTGGAATTCTATATTTTTCCCTTGGATAATAAGACAACCATCTGTAATAATGTAGGGTATAGCTAATCACTGTGTTAGGTTAGTATTTTTCAATACTTCAATTTAAGTCTCAAAATCAGTTTTTAAAAACGCTACCTATTTTTGTGCTCACAAAAGACCATATGTCTGAAAAAAATCATAATACAGTATGGAGCTCTTTAATGCTACAATATAGACTTTAATTGTTCTTTATGTCTATATGACTGAAAGTAAATATATATCTACAATTTGCATTGGTGGACCCCATTAGCTCATCTCCTTAAAAATGGTTTCATTATTTTATATTCTTTATTTTACTTATTAGAATTATATAACCTTAGTACTTGAGCTTCGTAAAAGATTTCCTCTGTAATATTTGGTGCTCTTCTTGGTAGCCTCTGTTTTGATATGTAATTATTAACTCATGTTTATTTAAGCTTCTGTTGGGATCATTAAAAAATTCCCCAAAAGTCAAGAAAAATGAATTGATGATAGTAGGTAGACAGGCAGATTTCTAAATAAATATATGGACAGAAAAATATATCAGGAAATGTTTCTATTTTTCCAATGACTATCCTTAGGATAAGGATAATTAATTTGTCAAATCTATAAACTACATTCACAAAAGTAATCTAGCTTAAAGGATGATCACTAGCATTTGTGTTATGGAGCTGTGCTCTGAAGAACAGATACATGTTTGAATCATATAAAATGAGCTAGGTTCCTATATAATAGCAACATTCTGCAACTGAAAATTAAAGGAAATGTCCATGGAATTTACATAATTCAGCCAGTTCTGCTTTGCCAATCGAGAATTATATACAAATACTGAATAATGTATTTACAAGACTATTATAAGACACACAGCAATTCCTTCCAACCCTCATTTCTTCTGCCTCAGATTAGGTTTTTCTTTCTAACCTAAGTCACTGAAATCTACTTCTAAGTTACATCATTGACTCTAATTTCTCATTTCATTCTATTTTCTTTTTTTTTTCTTTTTTTTTTTTTGCCATTAGAAAGGTTCCTCTAAAAAACATTGATCTAACCAATCATCCCATATTGGAAACCTAGGATGACACTACACACCTATCGGAATGCTAAAATAAAATATTCAACAAAGAACAACACCAAATGCTGGCAAAGATGTGGGGACAGGGTCACTCGTATATTGCTGGCTGGAAGCTAGAATGGTACAGTGATTTTGCAAGATAATTGGGTAGTTTCTTCAACTGAGTAATTGCACTGCTGGGCATTTATTCCAGGGAAATAGCATACTCACACAAAAAGTTGCACACAAATATTCATAGCAGCTTTATTCTTAATAACCCCAAACTGGAAACAAACCAGATATCCTTCAATGGCTAGATGATTAAATATAATATAGGATAGTCTTACCATGGAATAGCAGTCAGCAAGAAAAAGAAACAAGCCGCTGATAGGTGCAACAATTTACATGCGTCTCATGGGAATAACACTGAAGGAAAAAAAAAGAATCTAAAAGGTACATCCAGTGTGATTTCATTTATACAGCATATGTTAACAAAAGCCAGAAATCAGGATTGGGTGTGGAGGGGAGGTAGGTGTGCCTATAAAAATGCATCACTAGGGATCCTCGTGGTGATAGAGCTGTTTTGGGACTTAACTGTTTCCATGTCAATATCTGAGTTGTGATATTGTAGCACAGTTTTGCAAGATGTTACCATGGGGTGGCAACTGGATGTGAATTTATAATTATGTCAAATTGAGACGTTTGATTAAAATGAAAAACTATGTCAATGTGCCTACAGAGAGGAGTGCAAACTTTAAAATTTCATATAAAACGTTCAGAATATTGTCCGTATTGGAAGGCCGAGGTGGACGGATCACCTGAAGTCAGGAGTTTGAAACCAGCCTAGCCAATATGGTGAAACCCCATCTCCACTAAAAATACAAAAAAAAAATTAGTTTGGTGTGGTGGCTCACGCCTGTAATCCTAGCTACTCGGGAGGCTGAGGCAGGAGAATTGCCTGCTCCCAGGAGGCGGAGGTTGCAGTGAGCCGAGATCCTGCCACTGCACTCCAGCCTCGGCAACAGACAGACTGTAAAAAAAAAAAAAAAGAAAGAGAGGAAAGAAAAGAAGGAAAGAAAGAAAGAAGGAAGGAAGGAAAAGAAAGAAAGAGAAAGAAAGAAAGAAAAGAGAGAGGGAGGGAGGGAGGAAAGAAAGAAAGAAAGAAAGAAAGAAAGAAAGAAAGAAAGAGAGAGAAAGAGAAAGAAAGAAAGAAAGAAAGAAAGAAAGAAAGAAAGAAAGAAAGAAAGAAAGAAAGAAAGAAAGAGGGAGGAAGGAAAGATTGTAGGTAACAATCCTTACCACTCTTTACTGGCTCTGCCTTCTCTCCCTACTTCTACCCTATAAACTATGCTTCATACACTCTAAACTGTGTAAGATTTCTTTCTTGCATTTCTTGTGTACCACTTCGCAGAGTGAATTGTGATTATTTGGACTGTAGTCTGTCTCAGTAGTAGTGAACTCTAAGAACGCAGGTTCTGCCCACAGCGTTCCCCCTCTTCCCCTCTGTGATTTGAGCTGTCAATTTGATGGAATTAAGGGATACATAGATAGCTGGTAAGACATTACTGCTGAGGATACCTTTGAGGGTGTTTTGGGAAGAGACTGGCATTTGACTCAGTGGACTTAGTAAGAAAGATCCTTCCTCAATGTGTGTGGGTACCATCCAAAGACTGAGGGCCCAGAGAGAACAAAAAGGGGGAGAGCTCCCTAGAGCGGGGCCTCCCTTCTCCTCCTGCCCTTCCACATTAGACTTCCAGGCTTTCCAGTCCTTGGACTCCAGCACTTCTACCAGCAGCTCCGTGGGTTCTCAGGCCTTTGACCTCAGACTGAGATTCACACCATGGGCTTCCCTAGTTCTGAAGAACTTGAATTTGGACAGAGTCATGCTACCAGCCTCCTTGTTTCTTGAGCTTGCAGATGGACTGTCATGGGACTTCTTAAGCCTCCATAATTGTGTGAGCCAATTTTCCTAAAAATTGCCTTCTCACTTATCTATCTACTTGCCTACTATCTATCTATCTGGAATTGATTCTGTCTCTCTGGAGAGCTCTAATATACCATTCAAAACAATACATACTAAAAAAAAATCTGCACAATAGCTACCATGAAGGAGAGAAGAGAAATTAAACAAGAATGTTTCTTCTCTAAGACCTTTATACTTTATGTAATCCAATTGTAGGGGAAAATAATCTCTTCATATTAGTTTTTTAATTTTATTGCCTGTGCTCTATTACAAACAGAATTTAAGGTTGGTATCAAAATGCATGCAACACAGCAAGTTTAAATACATTGAAAGAAGTAAGAAAATGTGTTTTAAGGAAAAGAAAATACTCATGGAAAAGTAAGGCAGTAAAGGCCTGTGGTTTGTATGTTGTACATTGCTCGCCTACAGGGGGCGCTATTAACCATCTGCTCGATAATGCAGCAGCCTGATGAGATTTGCACACAACAAGAATATATTTCAAAATCTAAGTACCAGACGCGATTTTATGTGCTTTAAAACCCTCCACCCATTTTATTGTCAACACTGGCCTGTGAAATAGTCATTAACTGCAGGATACAATACAGAAATTGAAGCTCAGAGGAGGAATATGACACATTTTGGATTCAAACCCAGGTTTACTTGACTAAAAAAGGTGTACATATAATCTTTTTAAAGATGGGAAGCTTAATTGGTTATAAGCTTTCTAGAATCCAATTTAAAGAGAAAAATAGAGTCACTAAAAAAGTCACAGTGTTCAACATGTAGAATGAAATTGTTTGTGAAACCCATGTATATTCCTGAAACGGAGTACAGATATTCATTTTGCCTATTCTTCCTCATAGAAAAGACACGGGTCAGCATCTTCAATAGCATCCTTGCGATCTTCAATTGCAATTCACTTGATTATCAAATGATGATGCATAGATTGCTTAAAAGTGCTGCAAGTTTGTAATCTCTACATCAACTAAACTAAAACACAAATTCAACACACTCGGATTCTAATATACTGAGCAGATTTTCCAATTTTTTTGTTACGGAGGTGAGCTCCATTTATACTAGATTCTCCCAGTTATTTGACTGCAGTTGGAAATCTCAGCCTAGCACACATCATGCTGAATCTCCACACGCTGAGAGTTTTTGTTTGTTTTATGTGTGTATGTTTTTCTGATCATTGCCTTGGGTAAAAGCAGAAACAGTGCTCAACAAGGCATCTTATTTGAAGGCTTGGACAAATTGAGTAATGTGTTATGTAGGTTGCTTGTTTTCTCTGAGTATCAAAGCACTTCTTAAAAAAAGAATTTTATAATAAAATTCCACCCAGTATCAGTTACTATGTAAAAAAAAAATCACTTAAAGTACCATATTATTATGAAATAATCTCATCTACTTTCAAATTTCTATTGTTTTCTAGAAAGGAATGTATTCTTTAGGTATTAATGCTATCAAATTGATGCAAGTAGGAGAGATAAGATCACACTCAATCGAAAATACAGAAAATGATTACTCAAAAACTTAAGGATTTGCTAGCCATTTGCAGAATTAATGCTTGGAATATTTGTATTAGCAGTATTTGGATCAGTTAACAAAACAAAGTTTTAAAACAATGTATTTCTAAGAGCATTGATAACTTACTAGTATTCCAACGTCATTTTACAACCCTAGTGAGACTTAGAGAAAGGGGTTTATTAAAGCGTGCCACTATTTCCTTTTGAGCCATCTTTCATACTGTACATTCTAGTGGACAATCCAGTGCTTACTTATAAACAAGTTGGAGTACTTAAACAAAAAAAAAAGTGTAAGTTAAAAGAAAACGATGGAAGGGTTTAGGAGTTATTTAAATGTAAAATAATTTTAAACTTTTAAAAGTTAACATTTAATTTTCTGTACTACTCTGCTGAAAACTTTGTAGTACATAATCTCACTGGATTTTCAAATTATAGGAACATCTTATTTTCCCTATCTTACAGCTTAGAAAAGACTGATGGAAAGATTGTCTTCTTCAAGTTCACACCCCAGTAAGTGATAATTTAAAACTTGCATTTTTTTCCTCTTAGAGAGACTAGACATATGATTCACAGAGAGATATGAGCATTGTTAAAATAAAGGTATTTTTTTATGGTGGAAAAGTTGGCCTACATAATATGTAATGAGTTTACTAAAAAATAAAGTATTATGCTCTAAAGATGGTTTTATTAATATTTGCCATAGTTTATAAATCTTAGAAGTATCCTGAAGTTGTATCATTCCTTCAGCAGACACTAATAGCAAATGTCACACTGCCGTTTTCTTCATATATAAACAGAAGCCTCAGGAGACAAAGAAGGAACTTTTACATGAAAGATTATACACTCTAAATGTCAGTCTCTTAAAATACTCTAAAACCTTCTTAGAGATAGTTAATGCAAATAGTTTAAAATGTGCTTCAAATTATATTTCAAAGTATTTTTTTTCTTCTCGACTAACAGATTGACAGATACATGCACAAGTTATAAAGGCAAACAAGTCTATGAGCAGTTATAAACAATGCTATTCAATGGGCATAAACAGAAAAACTCTATGAGGTATGGATAAATTGGCATGATACCATCTGCAATTAAGAACACCATAACCCAGCTAATTGCTTTTGTTCATGATTGTGAGTCCTTGTCCAACTTTCAAAATGGCCAGATGTACCTCTGATTTGCATAAATTAGATCTATGCATATCTAAAGCTTCGAGCTATATACCTTGTGTCTTTATAAAATGCTGAAGTTTTTATAATCTTCCATCTCTGTACTCTTAAATAGTATTCCTGTTTTATATATAGTTCACACTCCTCCAAGCTCACATTTAGAAGATGAGTTATTTCTTAGCATCCTAAGATAGTTTTCATTTATGAATTGGTAAATCAGTACACCTCTTGTATTAAAGTATGTTGCTCCTCCTTTCCTATAATTTACAGTCTTTAAGTATTTAATTATAGAATTAAAAAAATCATTAACATATCTTCTGGTTTATAGAAAGACAGATGAATAAGTATGCATGTTAAAATTATTTCTAGTAATTCCACACTAGAATACACAAATAAATACATGATTTTATGCCTAGAACATAAATCTATTACATATCTTATTTAAATCGTATCATTAAAGTGTAAAAGAGAGATTTTATTAGCCTTTAAAATCAGGCAATAGATCCTAGGAGTATCAAGTAAAAGAATTGTGAAGTATTAAGGATGTTAGCTATGTTGTTCACCGTTTTGATATGATGAGCCATATAAATACCCGTGCTAGACTCTTACTCTAAGACTTATATCCTTGAGGCATATTTCATTGCTAAGATATCTGACTCTGCAGTTATCAATAAAGTCCAGCTGTTTTATGAGATGATGCATTGTATAACAATGTTCAATGTTACTTAATGCCACAAAATTGTACACTTAAAATAGTTTAAATAGCAAATTTTATGTTACGTGTATTTTATCACAATTTTTAAAATGGAGAGAGAGAGAGAGAGAGAGAGAGAGAGAGAATCATGCTTTCTAAATTATTTACTTGCAAAATTTTTCTCATACTTTTGAAAGACTAAATTTTTAGAACCAAGCTAAGCAACATGAATAGGGACAACTGACACCCAGTCCTGAAATTATTTAAGATCTTATTGGAAAGGCAAAACAAACAATTAAAATTCTTAAATGTTGCTAAAGGTATTCAGGAAAGGATGTTGTTAAAATATTATTGAGTAAAATTGAAGACGTTATATTCATTCAGAATATAAAATAGCTATGATCTATTTAAGATCTAGGATTATGTTGGCACAGGAAGCTTGTTTATACCAATCAGGGAGGTCCCCAACTTAATGGTGCCACTGCAATCAACACACATGATAGTCCTTTCAGAACAATCATTTATATGGAGAATTTTGGCCACTTGCTTCATTTTCGGTTGCTAGTCATCACCGTGCAAATTTGGAAGACCCTAACATTTTCGCAAATTGCTGCCTTTATCTACTGAGGATCTTTTTATCAACAAATATCTTGGAATTCCGCTCCCTTTTTTAAGTTCTCAGGAAAATGATAACTACCATTATTGACTTCTAGTGGCCCTCGATATAGTTCACAGTTCTCAAAGGAGTCATGAGTTTCATTCAAGGAGTCATGCTGGCCTACACACAAAAATCAGAAATAGTAATTCCCATAATATTGAACTGCTATTCAAGTATAATGGATCACATATTTTTAATATTGAAAAATGTTGGCCTTAATTTTAGCTAAATTACCACCCCCCCACACACACACAAAAATTCCCTGTTTTTGCAATACGTAGAATCATTTTCTAGGTTACAAGAGATATAAAATGGTTGTATGAAGAGGTAAGTAAGTGATTTACTATCAAATTCCCCCTTCAATCCACTCATTCAATTTCTGAAAATCAGTTTTATGGTAAGCACATTTTACTGCAGGTATTCTGCCAGATTTGCTGCTATTTGAGTGAACTTTATGTGACTCTGTTCCTCTGTTAACTCCAACAGAATTTCTTGTTTTAAATAATTGATTACGTTCATTTTCCAGGTGACTTTTACACTCCAGTAAAATTTTCTTATCTAATAATTTTCTAATTAAGGGAATTTTATTTCCCCATGTGATACTGTAGCATCAGTTTCAATTTATAAACTGACCAAGAAGATAGACACCAAATGTTACAGTATGGTGCTGTGATCACATTTCAAGAAAACTTATTTAAAAATGTAAGGCCATGATTTCCCTTCTTGTACAATAACTTTCCTGGAACAGATGCTATTAACTCATAAATTAGGTATTTATGCATACCAGATTACTTCCCAAAGAAGAATAAAACGGAGACTGTGGCATATTTACAAGTGGACAAATCTCTAAAATGGGTCAGGTAAGTGCAATAAGGCAAGGATTATGCAGTGTAACAAGAATGAAGTATAGCAACACATGTTGTTGCTGTCTTCTACATTGCTTTCCCCTTTAGCTCCCCCCATCTCCAAAGAAAAAGGTGAATAGAGAAAGAGATGATTGCATGTATATTTTACATTGGGCTATATAATGTAGAAAGAAGTGTATTTTCCAAGGAAATTAATAGAAAGGGAAGTAGCAATGTTTCAGATTCTACCATGTGTCAGAATTATGCTAAATACTTCATGTATGTCTTCTCATTAGAACTAGGTCTTTTTTTTTTTTTTTTTTTTTTTTTTGAGATGGAGTTTCTCTCTTGTTGCCCAGGCTGGAGTGCAATGGCACTATCTCAGCTCACTGCAACTTCTGCCTCCCGGGTTCAAGTGGTTATCCTGCCTCAGCCTCCCGAGTAGCTGGGATTTCAGGCGTGCACCACCATGCCCAGCTAATTTTGTATTTTTAGTAGAGATCAGGTCTCTCAATGTTGTCAGGCTGGTCTCGAACTCCCGACCTCAGGTGATCCGCCTGTCTCAGCCCCCGAAAGTGCTGAGATTACATGAGTGAAGTACTCTTATCTTAATTTTACAATTAATGTTGTTACGAGGAGATTCACAAAACTTTTTGATTCCATGCTCCCTCTAAAATGGTATATAATATTTAAACCAAAAACCCATCCTGTGCTTAGTGAACGTTACCTAGCTCCAAGTACTATGGTTGACACAACTTTTATGGAAAGTTCTTTAACTTTGCTGGACCTCTATTTTTTACCTATTCTCTGAGGCACTTTTCTAAAATTAACTTTAGATTTTTCCTATTTTCATCTCCTTACCAAATAGTTTTATTCTTTCTTGCTTATTTTCTGTTTTTAATTATCGAAAAGTGCCACTTCTCTAAATTGTAAAGCTGGCATAAATAAGCAGAGGCAAAGCATTTAGTAAATTTGAATAAAGTCTTAAATTAGATCAACGAAAAGTCTGATATTTGCCTTTAAATTTTTAGCATTCAAGACCTCACTTGCCTAAAAAAAAGGTATAATATAGTGTTATTGAATGAATGAACATATGAACAGATGTTTTTGTTCACGGCCACATCCTCAATGCCTAGAGCAATAGCTGCTCATAGAAGACACTCAGAAACTTCTCCCTTCTGTTTTGAACTCATATGCAGCTTTAGATATGTCAATGTCCTATTACCATGGAAGATAAAAACCTAGAAAATATGTACTCCCCTAAGAAATAGAAATTATATCTCCTCTGGATTTAATTTTTGTTAAAAAGCGGGGAGTCTCTAAACTAATAAATTCTTTTAAACTTTTATGATATGGCATTATTGGTGATAATGATGAAAATGAATTAATTCCCTTTATTCCAAGGAATCCAAAATCCTCAAATCGAACATCAAACATTCTGCCACATCTTAAACATGGTGTCAGTGTAATGACGTTGAACTTAATTTGCTATTCTTATTTAAAGTTTATTGGATATTGTTTGTAGGAGTTAAAAAAATTAAGCAACATAAATGAACATCAGAGTGATTAAATAAACTGTTAAATAGTCACAGACAAGTATTGTGTAGCATCTGAAAAATCTGAACATGAACAATGAACATGAACAATATAAAAAACATAATATTGAGTGAAAAAGGAAATTGCAAAGGGATAACCTATCAGTGTGTTAGCAGTCATTCAGTCAAACATTTTTATTCTTTTTGGAGAATCTTCTATGTGGCAGCTACTATCCTAGACAATAAGCATGAAACAGTAAGCAAAACCATTAATATAAATTTGAAATAAATACTGTATATTATCATGGGCACATATTAATGTATTAACATTAAAGGATTCATATGGCAGGGATATCACTAAATTCATTTCACTTTTTTAAATCTAAAGAAAACATGGTAAAACATTTACATATTTGGAGCTGGGTTCACCAGTGACTGTTCTACTTTTTTTCCTGTTTGTTTTAAACTTTAATTATTTTACCAGCAAAGCTACTTAAATGACCCTATTTACTTACAATTGTTGTATAAATGAGTAACAAAACCACAGCAATTTGGTGAGTGAAAGTTGAGAACATTAGTCTTTGAACAAAACAGGAGGGAGTAAAATAAATGCTTCATTGTGAAAAAACGGAAAGGAAAACATCCTGTACTTGCACAATTCAGCATTTGACTTGGCAATCTTTGCCTTCAGTTTTAGCGTTGACTTTTCAGTCCTTCCAACTTCCTCCATGTGGAATGTCTGCCTCTCCTGCAGCGCCAACTCCCATGGCCATGCGTTGGCTGCATTTGGCAGTAGTCATATAAGAAATAAGCCAAGCGCCTGAATCTGTTTTCTTTTTTTCATTCATTCTTTCTTTCCTCTATGTTTTAAAAGCAACATCTAGTACTTCAGCTTATTCCTTGGCAATTGCTACCTTGCTTGGACTACCATCAATAATGGTTTTAACACAAAGTGACTACTGCCAGAAACTTGGGTTCAGTGGCACCAGTGACCTTGCAGGTCATCAAGCTGGTGCACCTGCTGCTCGTGCAGAATAAGGCTGTTGATAAAACTGTAATCCCCTCATGGTTCACCAGCTTAGTTTTGAAAGCAACCGCAGGCATATAGGAATGTTTTCTGGAAAGAGTGAAGACATTCTCAGGCATACTTTTTTTTCTATAATTTTCCTTCTACATTTTTAAAATCCATAAACAAGCACATTAATGTGTTTCAGGACTAGAAGAGGGGCGAATTAATTCTTGAAATTGGAATTATGACTCAAAGAGCTTCTTCCCATTTTGAAACACTTTAGCTGTTAATATGAACTTATTTATGTTATTTTCTTTAGGGAGAGTTATTAAAAGGTGTTTAGAGCAACATTTCTCTGAGATATGAAACTCTAATCTGATAATGGCTTCTTTCCTTAAATTTTATATTTAAATTAACATCATTCCAAAACCAGTCATCACTGATGCAATTTCCTTCTCTTCACCTTCCAATAAATCTTGGCTTGTTTTCAGACTCAAGAGAAATGAAGTTTGACTTGTTATTGAAGAATCATGGCTTAAGCAATAAAAAGATATTTTTAAAAAGTGATATATATATATGTGTGTGTGTGTGTGTGTGTGTGTGTGTGTGTTTCTTTTAAATCATGGCTTAAGCAATAAAATAGATTTTTAAAAAGTTGTATATGTGTTTCTTTTTTAAAGTGGAGCATTAAATTCAGGTAAAAATATATTTACTATATAATTTTTCACCAAACTTAGTCAAGGCAATAAGCTGTAGCTTATGTTTGTTACTATATCTTAATTTAGGAGCTTAATAAGACTATTATTCATGTCACCCCAAAATACAGACTACTGTCTTATCAAATGGACACCTAAGAAGCTAGCCTGACTATTTCCATTAAGATATTGAATAGGAAATGCACAGGCATCTCACCAATCTGTTTATCAAAGTTTATCAAAAGGTGCCATTTTTATACAGAAAAGCAAAATCTAGAAAATTAATTCCTATTGTATATTAAGATGAAAATATTACTAGTTAGGATTTGGATAAAACATTGGTACATGTATACATAAATATGCTTATATTTAATGTATATTAATCCCAGATATGTTCATGAATTTATAGTATATCACAAGATAACAGATAATTAAATAAATGGAGAGTAAAACACAAAAATACTTAGAAAAGAGCCTCAAGCCACTTGAGAGGTATTTAAAAATAATCTAGAAAGTGTATGAATAACAAAAATAACATAGCCAAAACAAAGATAATTCAATCTAACTCTCATATAATCAAATGCATACGTAATCAGTCTTTTCCTTGGCCTTTACAAATGGGTTTGGCTTGCTGTCTGTTTGAAGAAAATCCGTTTTTGGCAATGGTTTATACACAAGAGATCTGGTTTATTTTGATAAAATTAAAATTTAAAGACCACTTCTCTCCATGATTGTTTTGGTGCCTGTAAGACTTCCAAATGAACGAGATGCTTTAAACATATGGATGGGGTTAAGATGCCATCTGTACCCTGCATGGGACTTCATACATACTAAATATTGGGATAGCTTTTCAATTAACATTTCTCCAAACTGAAAAGGAGAAGAAATATTGACTCAAGTTAGGTAATAAAAACTGAGGTTATTGTTAACAAATAGTCCTAAGATTATAATGTACCAATATTCACACATTTACATAGAAGATATTCTAGAAAATGTTATTTTGAAAAATGATGGCATTATCAGAACCATAAATGTCATTTTGCAGAGTTCAAATTTAACTTATATATTGCATAAATATGTCTAGTAATAAATAAAAATATCATCATATTAACTGTCTTGATTTGATATTTTGAAAGCCATTTTGAAAAAATCATTCTTTGTAGATTTTATGTTACAGAATCAACACGATAATTACTATTTATTTTCTACTTCCCAAATAAGGTACTTAGTATTTGCTGCAAACTATGAAAGCTAAACCATCTTTGGCTTAGGTACAAAATTTAGATGGAGAGCAATAGAGTCAGGCTTCTTCCTCCAGTTATATTTACTTATATTTCTTATAATAATTTTATTCTATCTAATGAGCATCACATTCATATCTATAAATTTCTATGTATAAGTCTGTGGATTGAGAAACAAAGAGAACATAACGCCTTTCTCTCTTACACACACACACACTCACAGACTCACACACATCAAGGAAGTGTTTGTGATCTGCATTCTTAAAATATAATTAGGACTGGTTTTACAGGAAGACAAGTAAAAAGGAGAATTACCTGGAAGTTGTGTCATTTGCTCTTTTTTCCTAGTGTTCAAATGCTTTGTCTAAAGACAGGTTTTCTCTTTACGAACGTAGATTTGTGTCTATTGTTTAAGCATGAAATTGAATTTTGAGTAACATCTACTAACTGTTAAATGAATAGCAAAAAATGTCTTTATGAAGGATCAAGTCTTGTGGACATGGCACATAGGGCACAGGATCAGAACTGGACTCACAAATAGATTAAATGTTCTCAAAATATTAAACTTGAAAATGACCAAATGAGCTATTTGTCTATTTGTAGCTTTTTTGAAAGTAATGAGGATTGGCTTTTCCGCAACAAAATGAATAATTTTGTGTGTTAATATACTTATCACAACAGTGTAAAACTATGATTACAACAAAATACTTTAGCTGTATGTGTGAACTTATCTCCTTTATGAAAACCATAACATGGGATGCATTTTCTATTTAATTTATATTTCATTATTAAATAAATTTTACTTTACATTAGTAAAATACATATTATCTTTGGTTTTTCCAAAAAAACTCTTGCTCAGAAATAAAAAGACTTAAAGGAAGAAAATCAACAGGAAAAAACCCCAACCTAAAATTTTCTATTATTTTGAAAAATTGAGTCTACTGTTTCAATAACTGTTAGTTGTTTATTTTATTTTCATTCTTACTTTGTTCTCTAATTTCTCTATTCTTTCATATTGACAAGTAGCAGATGTAATATTCCTGTTAGCTACAAATAAATATATCTACAGCTGTATCTACATACACATAAATATATGTGTATATACATTTGTATGTTGTTTTTATCCCAAATTTTTGTTTATACTTATTTTTATTTATCACTTCAGCTCATTCTTATAGGAAATCTAGATGTATTAAGATAAATCTGATTGTGACATAATTTTCCCCTAACTTCTTTAAAGGGTAAGAAATATACTTGCTAATCCATAACTGATCTCCTTTTCTTGTGTTTGTTATGCTCTCACAAGGTTACCACAAAGTGACATAAAAATGGTATTAAAATCATAAAGCCAATAATTCAGAGCAAATGGTTTAGGAGTCCTGCTTGAATACTTTTCAAATTTGTTCATGATAAAAGAACCTTATTTCATTGCACTAAATATATTGTCAAAATCTAAAAATTTATTCACACTGACACTGTGAATTATTTTCTAAGTTCAGTAATTTTGATGTCTGTCCTGATTTGTAAATCAACATATAGTTGCCTAAGCATGCAAAGGATATTATGTGCATTGTAAAATGATCAGTAAATGATTTCCTGTACTGCTGTTCTTAATGAGAGAATATAAAGTTATTTAGAGAGCTAAATTGTGAAATAAATCGTTTCTCTGCTGACCTGGAGCAATCTGTGCTCTCTCTCAACTGAGCTGATGAGCATTAAAATGTTTCGAGGTAAGTTTCAAGGTTTAAATAACGACTGCTGTCATTGCAAATTGCATGGAATTTCACAATTTATTGATAATCCATAGCTCTTTTAATTTACCTTAAGACATTATCTAAGGTAAACTATGAACATTTGAAGATTACAGTGTAGTTTTTGACGTTAAATTTTTGAAATAGAGTTGACTATTGAGCAAAACAGGTTTGAACTGTGTGGGTGCACTTAAATATGGATTTTCTTCCACCTGTGCCACCTTTGAGACAGCAAGACTACCTCCTCTTCTTCTTCATCCTCCAAAGCCTATTCAACAGGAAAACGACAAGGATGAAGAATAGGATGACCAACCTCCCCCATACGAATACTAAATATATTTCCTCTTTCTTCTGACTTTTTAATAATATTTTATTTTCTCTAGCTTACTTTATTATAAGATTACAGTATATAGTATATATGTAACATGAACTATAGGTTAATCTACTGTTTATGTTATTGGTAAGGCTTCCAGTCAACAGTAGGCTATCAGTAGTTAAGTTTTGGAGGAGTCAAAAGTTATTCACAGATTTTCAACTACATGGGGGTCAATGCCCCTGATCCTTGTGTTCTTCAAGGGCCAATTTTACATAAAATAAAATCATATATATGTTATGTATACAAGATATACAGACAGTACATGTTAGTCACATTCCATGACTCACTCTAGGTTTTAGTTAAATACATTTAAAATCTATTTCAATGTCTAAAATAACAATTACAATCTGATCTATAAACTAGCTATATAAATATATACGTGTAATTTAAATGAGTTTATTAACAAAGAATTAATTGAAATGACAAAGCGTGAAGCCTTTCTTATATATAACTTCAGAAAATTGATTTAAAATATCCCTTGGAACAAATGGCAACCTAAAGCTGTATTTAATAGAAAATTGTAGGGTATTTTTATGTCTCATATAATTTACTATTATTTTTTCTAGGAAATATATTGAACAAAAATTCAAAAGTATAATTTAGGCTTAGGGTAAAAATAAAAATAACATCAAATTTCAAATCTCTGCTTGATTTTATGCATTATCACCTCACAATATAATTACTTTTGATTATATGAAGTATATTTAAATTAAACCAATGAAATCACACTGAAATACAATTAATACTATTATATACCCAGCTTCTTTTCCTTGTCACTATTTTTGTCAGTATCCTGACCAAGCAGTTATTTTAAATCAAGAATAATAGCATCTAAGATCTTGTGTAAAAACAGTTACTTTGCATTGTAAATGCCAACCAAGATACAGGGAGTGTGACAGAAGCAACATTGATTATTTTAAACTGCTGGAAAGCATCAAATACACTGGCGATTACCCAAGACCATGTTAACACATGCTAAGTATAGTGTAAGCCACCTTAAAGCACATTTTTTGTATATAAAATATTCACACACTTGGTATAAATATTATACTGGAATGACGTGCCCTAACTACATTTTACTTTACTTATAAAAACACAGTGAAAGCAGTGACACACAGTTAGATTTTTTTTTCCTAGATCACCAGATTTTAAGTTGACTCATACAGTGGTTAGAAATGATGTTTTTGGGCCTAGTGCAGTGGCTCACACCTGTAATTCCAACACTTTGTGAGGCCAAGGTGAGAGGATGGTTTGAGGCTGGGAGTTCATGACCAGCCCTGGCAACAAAGTGAGACACAGTCTGCACAAAAAAAAAAAAAATAAAAATAAAAAAAATAAAGTCAAATAAAAAAATATTAGCTGAGCATGGTGGTGCCCACCTGTACTCCTAGCTACTCGGGAGGATTGCCTGAGCTCAGGAGTTTGAGGTTACAGTGAGCTGATCACGCTACTGCAATCCAGCCTAGGCAACACAGCAAGAATTTGTCACAAAAATAAAAATAAAAATAAAAATGATGTCTTTAAAGACATATAAAATTAAAATAATCTCAGGTCAATTTTAAAGCAAATTAAATAAAAACTTACGTATGCCCTTTTATTCAGATGCACATTTTAGCAGTGGTATGATAATTTATCATCCTGTACATCTCTACTTAATGCTGATTTTGAAAAGATAGATAAACCTCTTTCAAATCATATTAAGCGTCTATAATTGATTCTTGGTCTCTTTCATCTACTCAGCAGCTGAGTTCTTAAATCCAAGAACGCCTAGAACAGGGGTCCCTAACCTTTGTGCCGCCAACCGGTACTGGTCCCTGGCCTATTAGGAACCAAGCGACACAGCAGGAGGTGCGCTGCGGGCCAGCAAGCCAGCATTACCGCCTGAACTCCACCTCCTGTCAGATTCAGGGGCGGCATTAGATTCTCATAGGAGCAGGAACCCTATTGTGAACTGCATATGCAAGGCACCTAGGCTGCAAAGCTGCATACTCCTTACGAGAATCTAACTAATGCCTGATGATGTGGGGTGGAACAGTTTCATCCTCAAAACACCTCCCGCCCCCCAGCCCCTAATTCACCCACTAACCCTGACTACTTCTGTGGAAAAATTGTTTTCCCCAAAATTGGTCCCTGGTGCCAAAAACGTTGGGGACCGCTGCCTTGGAACATGGGTAGTATTAATTGTGAAGTATAATCAATGGATCAATTTGTTACTTATTTACCACAATTGGATTTTTATTCCAACATATGCCATAACTTTTCTTTTCACTCAGAACAAATACTCTGGAGCTTTTCTGATTCAAACAGCTGTGCAATTAATCTGTTACAGGATGCACCTGTTCAAGACAAGGTTTAGGGATTGGGATCTTTGTTCCTGGAGGCACAAAGTGAATCTTTTTCGTAATACTTTTCTTAAGTCTAATCTTATTCTTAATCACTAGGTGAGTGGGACTACGTTTACGCCTGAATTGACATAAGAGAATGCAGATTACTAGTTCCCACACAAGACTTCCTGAATCAGAATCTCTGGTAGTAAGTGCTGAACGGGAGATATTTTCAAAAATACTCTTCCTGGAGTCTTATGTACACCAAAGCTTGAGGACCACGGCTCTGTAGGAAGATATTATAATTAGAAGTTTTTTTAAATGTATTTTACACATATCCGTTAAGTAGAATGTAGAATTTTCTTGTTTTATAAAGAAATGGAGGCCAAAATAAGTATTTGTTCCAAGTGACAGTAAATAGTGTAGTACAATGGCTCAAATGTGCTTTTCTCAAAATTAGCCTGTGCTTGTAGAAGTTAGCAATTATGTATCATTGGGAAAGTTACATTTCTGGAAGCTCAGCTGCTTCTTGTATACAATTAAGAATAGTATCTTCTTTGTTTAAAAAAAAGAAATAAAACACAATAAACTAGATCTAGAGTACCTGATATATGGTAGATGCTTGGTAAGCAGGCATCATCATCATTATCATCATTAATAACTCTTGGTCCCATTTCCAATTCCCTGTTTTAGATGGACAATTATATTTTGTTTTGTTTTTCTCTTGGTCGGTTATTTACTGACTTAGAGACCCCTAGTATTTTTTATTTATTTAATTATTCTGGTGAATAATCTTATTTTCATTGTAAGAACATAATAAATTAAATTTTAAAAAATTGACTACATACACCAAGACATATGTAGTCAAAAACTTAAAAATATTTTTAAAAAATAAACTAAGAGGCCAGGACTGGAGGCTCACACCTGTAATCCCAGGACTTTGGGAGGCCGAGGCAGGTGGATCATGAGGTCAGGAGATCAAGACCATCCTGACTAACACGGTGAAATCCTTGTCTCTACTAAAAATACAAAAAATTTGCTGGGCGTGGTGGCACACGCCTGTAGTCCCAGCTACTTGGAAGGCTGAGGAAGGAAAATCACTTGAACCCGGGAGGCAGAGGTTGCAGTGAGCCGGGATCGCACCACTGCATTCCAGCCTGGGCGACAGAGTGAGGCTCTGTCTCAGAAAACAAAACAAGGGCCGGGCGCATTGGCTCACACCTGTAATCCCAACACTTTGGTAGGTTGAGGTGGGCGGATCACAAGGTCAGGAGATCAAGACCATCCTGGCTAACACGGTGAAAACCCGTCTCTACTAAACATACAAAAAATTAGCCAGGCATGGTGGCGGGCGCCTGTAGTCTCAGCTACTCGGTAGGCTGAGGCAGGAGAATGGCGTGAACCCGGGAGGCGGAGCTTGCAGTGAGCCGAGATGGCGCCACTGCACTCCAGCCTGGGCAACAAGAGCAAAACCTACGTCTCAAAAAAAAAAAAAAAAAAAAAAAAAAAAAACTTTTCAAAGTGATTTAATTATTTTAAGTTTTATGGATTCTGCTATTTAATAAAGTACACCTGTCTCCAAATTATTATTTAAATGTCATAGTCAAATGTCATAGACCTGAGCTCTAATTTTGGTTCTGCCTCCTAATTGTTTGATCTTTAATGAGTCAATTATCATATTTAGGCTTCAGTTCTATCAGCCTTAAATAAAATGTCTGGATAGCTCATGTCTAAAGTCTTTTGTATCTCTAAAGTTTTAGAATCCCAGAAATGACGTTTATTTAGCCAGGCCCCTTTTCTACTCAGGAATCATGAAATGTTAGAATATTGATTATATTGTATGGTCTTTTATATTTTAAGAAGGATCCTACAAATATAAAATCTTTAATGTGTAAAAAAGTGTATATAATCACAAAAATATTTTAATTATTAATTTAGGAATTACCATCACCTTTGTCCAAATGAATAACTGTAAGTAAAACACAATTTGAAACAGGACAAAATTGAATTATCATAGGATAAAACTATCTAAAATAGTGGATTTACATGGACTTCAGCAAGTCTGTGATTTCTATGAAATTATATACCCAGTAGGAAATGTTTTTGAAAAAGAGAGTACAGAGTTTACATTAGATTTTCAATAAGGTACTCGAAAAAGGATTGCCTTGTGTTGTGTTAGTACTGCTATTTAAAAAGCTGAACAGCTTCATGGATAATGCACTCAGTTCTGTACATATATTTTAACAAAAGAATGAAACAGTTTCTTTAAGTAGACAACCCTTTAACTGATTTTTGAAAAGACAAAATATCAATTTTCTAACTCATGAAAAACCATGCCATGCTTGGAACTTTAAAGAAATGAGAGAAATGTATGCATTCACTTATTCAGTGAATCACCATATGATCAAAGGCTACTTAGGGTACCTGACTAAATGAAGCTCACAGTCCAAGCAGGATAGATGGGCAGTATTAATCTTAGTAATTATAAAAGTGCAACTGCAATACAGGCTTTAAGAGACAGATCCTTGCAGCCACAAGATTAATAAGGACTTGCTTATCACAGAATTGCTGAAGGATTGCTAAGAAAATGAATACTAGGCAGGGTGTAGTGGCCTAAGCCTCTAATGTAAGCACTTTGGGAGGCTGAGGTTGGAGGATCCCTTGAGCCCAAGTGCTGGAGACCAGCCTGGGCAACATAGAGAAACCTCGTCTCTACAAAAATAAAAAATCAACTGAGCATGGTGGTGCACACCTATAGTCCCAGCTTCTTGAGAGTCTGAGGTGGGAAGATTGTTTGAACCTTGGAGGTAGAGGTCTCAGTGAGCCAAAATCACACCACTACACTCCAGCCTGAGTGGCAGAGTGAGACCCTGTCTCAAATAAATAAATAAATAAATAAACAAACAAACAAATAAATAAATTAAAATCAATGACTGAACTGGAGTTCAGTAAAGAAGTAAAAAATACGATTAACAAATTTGGGAAAGCCATGTACAAAACACCTGTGCAGTGAAATGATTTGACCATTAAGGACTGAATGGCCTGTGGCTGGAAATCAGAGTGCAAAGGAGAGCCTAGTTCAAGGTGAGACGGGAGAGGAAGGTAGGGGAGTAAGAAAACCAAGCATTTTAGATCAAGTTAAGAGGCTTTGTCTTTTGATACAGAGTAATGGAAACATTTTGGTGAGAATAGGGTTTTTGGACGCAGGAACACAATTAGTTGCTCTTAGAATCTTGCATATAAATTTAGGAAATATAAAGAATAAATTTCTTTAATTTGTGGTGAGCTAATTTACCACTAGAAAAGAGTTTGTGTTACCTACATCAGTTATTCCCAAACTTGAGAGTGTACCAGACTCACCCAGAGGAATTGTTGAAACACAGCAGGGGTCCCAGTCACAAATTTCTGATTCAATACATCTAGGTTAAGGACTGAGAATTCGCAATTGTAGCAGCCCAGGTATTGCCATTCTGCTGTTGTGGGGACCACACATTGAGAACTATGGATCTCCATCAATAGAAAATGGACATAAACTTGTGAATCTCTCCCCCATATCAAATACTTGAGCAAATTTTTACTGAACTACATCAGAACCAATACATGGCTTACTGTCCTTGAATTTAAAATATACAATGCACCCCACATCTTTTCAGCCCCAGAAATGCTGGACAGGTTAGTAAAATGTAATAAACTAGAGCAGAAACGCAGGGGCAGAATGCTTGAGTTCAAATTCTAGTTCCACCATTACAGTGTGTGACCTTGGACTACTCACTCACTGCTCCCTATCTCATCGGTAAAAGGCTGTTACAGTGTTTGCCTCCTAAGAGTGTTGGGATTATGAAATAAATTATATTATGTCACATAGTACAATATCTGACATATACAAATACATGTGTTAGCTGTTACTATTGTCATTTTTTTATTTGCTCATTTTTAATTAAAAAAAGACCTTTAGGTGGTGAGTCATGTCTGTAATCCCAGCACTGTGGGAGGCCGAGGCGGGCAAATCACTCGTGGCCAGGAGTTTGAAACCAGCCTGGCCAACACGGTGAAACCCCGTCTCTACTAAAAATACAAAAAAAAAAAAAATAGCCCAGCATGGTGGCACATGCCTGTAATCCCAGCTACTTGGGAGGCTGAAGCAGGAGAATCACTTGAACCTGGGAGGCAGAGGTTGTAGTGAGCTGAAATAGTACCATTGCACTCCAGCCTGGGTGACAGAGACTCTGTCTCAATAAATAAATAAATAAATAAATACCTTTAAATATATTAATAACCACAGAGTGTAAACATTGAAATGTTGATTAGCCATTTGTGTTTCCTCTTTCACCAATTATCTGTTCTTATTCCTTTATGTTCATCTACTCATCATTCACTTACTCTAAAGTCTATGGCAAACTCTGTTAGGCGATGATGTATAGATATCTATAGTTCTTGTTATTTCTCCCATGCATGCAATTGTTCTTATATATGAGACCGGTTCAAAATTAACCGCAAACACCTGTGTGTATCAGACATGTGTCTCAATTTGTTTTTTTCCAGACTGGATTCTCCTGTTGCATTTGCCTGTTGTTTATTCTTTATCTTAATATTAGTTTATATTCATTATGACTTTCATCCCACTACTGTTAACTCTGCAGGTTGCTCTGCCCTTCTGTGTGTTTCCTGGCTAATTTGATTTTCGTATCAGAAAATATATTCCACAGATGTGAGCATATTATTAACAAAATACTTAATATGTGCTAATACTGACCCCTTGAGACTCCTCCTGCAGCTTTCCACTTAGAGGCTGTACATTTATTGATTATGCTTACTTGGCTTCATAGGACCAGGTTTTCTTTCAGGTATTTATCCAATTAATGTATAGGCGTCTATTATGTAGCACTATAACAAACACATTTTGCAAACTTAAGCATTCAGTATCTTTCACTACTTTTATTTCCTAACTTAGGAGATATGCCACAGAAGGCTATTACAATGTATGACATGACCTACTTTTAATAAATTCACATTTGCCACTTACTTTATTAGACACCTTTCTCCTTCGTGTTCACATTTGGACTCTAATTATATGCTCAGCCAAAGACTTCTAATACATGAAGGCAATTTAGAAGCAAGGAAGTAAAGCTCTACAGACATTTCAAGATACAAAAATAAAGACAAAAGGAGGAAAAAATACTATTGCAATTCTAGAAGGACTTGCCTTCCTGAAACCTTCAGCCTTAAAACTGTCTTTAAGATCCTAGGTTACTTCTAATTTGGGCCTTCAAATTACATCCTACACATTCCAGACAGCCAGGACAGTCTCTCTCTGCTGTTTCTTATTATTCTGATTATTTAATACATTGCAAATGGGAACTCTGGGACTCTAGGCTTCTTTTTCCCCTTGAAACCTCTAAATAATTAATTAGACTGTCGAGCTCTTACTACTGCAAATTTCTCCTTCATGTTGGCCAGGGTGGCACACATTTATCCTTAGGCAAAGCCACAGGCTAAAACAGTTTCATATTAGCTAAACATCTTAGACTATGGCATGTTATCTCTGAGGTCATAACATGACAGAGCTCAAGCCCAATGAAAGAACGTGAAATAAGTTGAGCTTTCGGATAAATGTGAGGATTAAATAGGAGTTCCAAGCAAACTCCAAATAAATAGGAGCATTTATTGTCTGGTGAGCATTATGATAAATCCACCATAAAGGACATTATTTCTTTAGTCATCCTGGCACGCTGTGAAGTGGGAACTATTTTCCCATTTCATAAATAGAGAAAGTAACGTTGAAAAGTTAAATAACTGGCTCTAGTTAACACAGCTAGTAAGTGACGGAGGCTAGTTTACAACTGAGGACTGATCACTGAAATCAGGTTAAACATAAAAGTAAATTATATGTTAACTTCCATATTGTGTAGCAGTTATCCACCTAAGGTTCAGCAGTCCTGGGTTCTAACACTGAATGGCATGGGGTAGTGGTTAGCTCACCTACAGTGGCCAACATGTTCTAGAAGCCATCTCTGCGACTGTGTAGATGACTTGTGCTCTCCATGCTAAGATTTTTGCTGGAGTTTTAAATTTTCCTCCAAAAGCTGATTGTCTTCATGATAATGAGCACCAGCGATCCCTTTCCTAAGTCTAAATAATGCATCACATGTTGACTAAAGTGGAGATTCAACTTCATGGTTGGTTGTTTTTACATAGGGTTGGTTGTTTCTACATGTGTTACAGTGACTCCTAACATTTTCTGAGGTGGAAAGGGCCTAAGCAATCACAAATTCCTTTCCTATATTAAAGCTAGAGAATCTGTGACAGAATAAGACACGGAGTGGGGTAGTTTTGTAGTTGACAGCAGAAGCTAGGGTTTCTGACTGCCAGGTCAGCTTTTTTTCCCACCATATCAAACAGCTCTCTATGACAAAAAATAATGCAAGTCTTGCAGAATAATTAAATGTTGCAAGTGGATTTTCAATATGTAATTACAGCTTAGCCTCTGATTTAATTATTTGGATAATTCACTTCATATTTTCTTGGTTAATTGCTGCCATCCATCGCACTGTATAATTCAAACAATCATAAATAGCAGCTTGAATTTTATGAAATCGCCATGCCCAAATTTCCAAGTGCTTAGCACTGAACAAATATTTGCAAAGAACTATCCATTTGTTAGATATTATATTACAGATCTGCTATCACCAGCCTGAAAAAATGCAGTTTTCAAATGAAATTTTGCATCAATACAACAAATATTTAATTTTCATTATTTCAATAATTTTGATGTATATATATATATTCATCAAAATAGTATAAATTCAACATAATATATTTTGTTTATCAGCTTGAATCCCTACTTCCAGACATTAAAAAAATAAGAAAAATAAATTTCTTTTCTTTCATTTTAACCATAAAAAGCTTACAAAATAAAAACAAATACTTTCTGTAGACAACTTCAAATATAAAACACTGTGATTGAAAAAGATGGTGTTTGACAGATTTTTCTCTGCTATATATGCATAGTCTTGGCTTAGATGTCTCAAAATATTTTTTTGCCTGCCGACTACTTCTTGAATTATTTACTATGCTATTTACCTTCTTTGGCCTTATTTGACTCACTTTTTTACATTTGACTCTGTAATCTTTTCTTTACCAATAAAGAAAACAGATATTAGCAGGGAAATCACCTTATCAATGCAGTCCTCATCTTAGTATTCTGATGTCTGTGAGTCAGCTGCAGCTGATATCTGCAACTCAATTTACTACCACTTCCATCCTTTTATTATCTTTTATCCAATTAATTTTATCATATATAATTTAATATTAGTAGTGTTATTTTAATTTCTTGGAGCCCATTCTAATGTTAGCAATATTATATATATATTTAGGGTATCTTATTTCTGATCAGCTTTGAAAACAAAAGAACAAGAGAGGGGGAGTTGAAAAAGAAGGCTGAAAAGCCTCCTGTGTCTTTCAGCAAGGGGAAAGAGAGGGAGATGGCACGATTAGCTGTTTTAATTGTTTATTTGATTCCCATTTAATAAAATCTGGATGATGCTATCAAAGAAGCAACTCAAAATGTAAAAATTCCAAGCAAACCTTAGTATCACCGCAGGTGATTAATTGCCTTAAAAAATGAAAGAGGTCTCAAGATTGACAAACAACAGGACTATCCAAGATTTGCCCAGCATGGTGCTAGAATTTTGAAGCACATTCTTATCAGATCACCTTCTTAGGAAGGTAAAAATCTATATTCAGGGACTTGAGCATAAAGGTAATAAAGAAGTAAAATTTAGGACATTCATAAGAGGTATTACTGTATGAGGAGCTGCCATGGTCAGGTATATTTTAGGTATAGAATGTGCTATTTAATTAATAAAATACTTCCTCTAAAATTGTGGCTTTCCCATATGTTCTTGCACTGGGAAACTGGATGGGAAAGAAATTCATTTGATGGAAATTAGTAGGCATTTTAATCTATATGCTCTCATACCAAAATTTAGATCTCTGGTAAACTGAGATCATATAAAGCAGAAGTTCTGGTTCTTCTTCATCCAACCTGACATAAAAAATTAAATTTCAGGTTTACTTTTTTCCCTAGAAGGTGAATGGGAAAAAATATGCCTTGGAAAGTGCCAGATTTTATGATACTGCTCCTAAACCACAACTTTGGTCTATGTTTCAGAGTGCAGCAGGGTTCCACCCAGCCCTATTCGGTCCATATTGGATGCATCAAACACAGATGTGAAAAAAGACCTCATAGTTTCAGAGCATCTAGGAAACATGATATTTAAATCTTGAGCAATGAATAGGTCAGACACATTGAACTTGAGCTTACGGGAGTAATTTTGAAGTAAGTGGTATACAGTTTATCAGTTCATAACATATATTTTGGAATCACACAGATATAGTTTGGAATCTCTCTGTACTCCCTTACCAACTATTTGACCTTGGGCTATTAAAGTTTTTAAGCTAAAATTTTCCTATATATTAAACAAACAGAATTACATTTTCTATTTCTTAGTGTTTTAAAAATTGAAAGAGACTGTGTGTGGAATACACATAACACAGTGCATGGAACATAGTAAGAGCCCAAAAAATAGTCATTACAATTGTTTTTTTACACTTCCACCATATTAAGTGCTTAAGAAGCATTTGTTTAATTAATGTTTCCTGTAGTCATAGGTTTAAGGAACCAACGATGCCATGCTTATTATTGGCATGATTAACTGCAACTTCAAAAAATTATTAGTCCCATACCAGCCCACCAAATAACACATCAGCATGCTTTCTTCCGTTGTGTCTTTTAAAGACACATTGTGCCTTACAAAACTGCCAAGACTTATAGAAAACCAAAGTGCAAGGACAGAGCCAGTGTATAGGTTTTGACAAGGAGCAGGTCTGGGTGGGAGTTGGATGACCTAAGAAACAGCAAAGTTATCGATTTAGGAGTATGTAAACATGATTGTTCACAAAGCACCGCTCAAGATCTATTTTTTCTCTTCCTTTCTCCTCTCCTCTCCTTCCTTCCTTCCTATCCTCCCTTTTTCTCCTTTTCTTTTCTTTTTTTTTGAACACATGTAGCATATTATCAACAAATTTAGCTCTAGCCATGAGATATGCAAAATTGTAAAAGTGGCCCATTGTCAATTATGCCCAATCTAGGAATTCCACTCCAGTAATAAAGTTATCATGTCAAATGGTTTATTTCGTTGCATCTTCTTTGATGTTTTGCTTGGGCTTCTGTACGCTTTCTCACATAGACCTCTAAACATGCAATGTTTTCCTCTTTTTTTTATTTTTTATTTTTATTTTTTGAGACGGAGTCTTTATCTGTCGCCCAGGCAGGAGTGCAGTGGCGCGATCTCCGTTCACTGCAAGCTCCGCCTCCCGGGTTCACGCCATTCACCCGCCTCAGCCTCCCCAGTCGCTGGGACTACAGGCGTCCGCCACAGCGCCGGGCTAATTTTTGTATTTTAAGTAGAGATGGGGTTTCACCGTGTTAGCCAGGATGGTGTCGATCTCCTGACCTCGTGATCCGCCCGCCTCGGCCTCCCAAAGTGCTGGGATTACAGGCGTGAGCAACCGCGCCCGGCCTCCTCTTTTTTATATAAATCTGTAATTTATTTAAGCTAGCTCAATGGGCCTCCTTCAGCCTTCCTTTACTGTATACTTGCATATTGGTCCAACTGTGAATTTTTCTCTCCTTTACATTTATTGTAACCAGAAACACATCCTCTCTCAAAACAAGGTGTCATTATTTGCCTGTGTCTTACTTGACATTAGTTTTTTCTTAAAAATTGTGTTTTATTATTAATCATTTAATTTTTTCTCTTTTTGTACCCATAAATGTTACAGTTGCTTTCTAATTTGAAAAACAAAAATGGATGCTATCAGTATATTGGAAGCCAATGAAGTTTTACTGAACATATGCTTTGATATTTATGCTTTGGGCCAAAGGAGCTATGGTTTGAATGTGTCTCCCAGAATTCAAGTGTTGAAAACTTAATCCCCTATGTGACAGTGTTGAAAGGTGGAGAACAGTGGGAGATGTTCAATTCATGATGATTTTGCTCTCATAAGTCAATACATGCCATTATATAAAGGGCTTTAAGAAGTGAGTTTGCTCTTGCCCTTCTGCCTTCAGCCATGTGATAGCAGAGTAAGAGGCCCTTGCTGGATGCCAACACCTTGATCATAGCCTTTCAGCATCAAGAACTGTGACCCTATAAATTTCTGTTTGTTATAAATTACCCAGCCTGTGGTATTTTGCTATAGCAGCACAAAATGGATAAAGAGTTCTAGAACTTGGCCAGGTGCGGTGGCTCAGGCCTGTAATCACAGCACTTTGGGAGGCCAAGGCAGGTGGATTGCCTGAGGTCAGGAGATTGAGACCAGCCTAACCAACATGGTAAAACCCCGTTTCTACTAAAAATACACACACACACACACACACACACACACACACACACATTAGCTTGGCATGGTGGCGGTGCCTGTAATCCCAGCTACTTGGGAGGCTGAGGCAGGAGAATCGCTTGAGCCTGGGAGGCGGAGGTTGCGGTAAACAGAGATTGCGCCATTACACACCAGCCTGGGCGACGGGGCAAGACTCTGTCTCCAAAAAAAATAAAAATAAAAAATAAATAAATAAATAAATAAAAAGAGTTGTGGAACTTTAGATATGGGTGTAGGAGGCAAGGTACCTGTTGTTTTGTACATTTGGGAATCTGCCTTATTTTTGCCAAGGGAGAAAACCAGGACATCTACTGCCTTTCAAAAGAATGAATTTTCTGAGGAAGTAACACAGCTTATGGAGAAAAATGTGTACAAGTTCTTGATTTCTCTAGATTTTCTACCATATAACAAGCACATTTAATGATAAAAATGATAGTTTGACCAATATAGACCATATGAGTTTGAGAACTCTGTTCTGATTGGTCTGGTCCAATGAGTTAGCATGAGTTAGCTGCACAATGTACTCTTAAATAGTTGAATGATTTCAATTACTAAAGTTATAAAGTACTGCTCACTTAAAGGTGAAATATTTGCCACTCTTGACGTTAGGGTTAACATATTTGATGCTAAACTTTCTTATGTTGTTGCAATAATTAGCTAACAGGCTCAAATGCTTTCAAGACCATTCTTTATTAGAAATAATATAATCATGTCAGCAATAGGGATAATGTTTTTCTTTCTTTTTGCAGTAGGTGGAGGAAATGCAGCTAATTCTTTTAATAGCTATGTCAATATATTTATATGTAAGCTTAACAAGAGAGCTAGGGCATAGGCTATTCAAAATACTGTTTATAAAGATTTTCATGCTGTCATAAAACCATTCTTATGACTGATTTCAACAGTGGCATGCTTATATGAGTTTTAAAGATTCATTAAAAGCCTGGTAAATATAATATGCAAGTTATCTTATGAGATGAAAAGGTGATAGGATGATGACATCACAATGTTCTAAAGCAGAATGAATTTTATTCTGAAGGAGCTGTTACAGTATCTAGCATGATGTCTAGAACATAATCAAAAGGTCTTTGTTCAATCAATTTCATTAATGTTTAGGTAAACTCCTTTTGGGGGAATAAGAACAATTTCTCAGGGCAGGAATTAGGTATTATAGCAGTAAGATATCTCTTTTCTCATTGTGCTTCTTTGAGGGACCGAGAGAGCTGGCCTTTATGATCTACAATGTGCACATTCTAGATCAAGGTTCACTTTTTGTGGCTCAATGGGTGAGAGACAGCTCTAAAACCTGGAAGCAATGTCACAGGGCATCTTAAGGATTTTTAAAAGTAGCAAAAGTTATGAGCTGCCATAATGCAATCAACCCATGGGAAAGGGCAGGCAATCACTCACTGAGAGATGATAGATTATGTCTTAGTAAAGCACAATTGAGTGAGAGCCACTATATTTTCATGAGAGAAGACTATGAGAAGTTGATTTTTTAGAATTATTTTTTAAAACACAGTGTATACTCCATGTCGTTCTTATGCTTTTCTGCCTACTTTTTTTCTACTCAACCTACAGATAATAATAAAGGATATTTAGGGGCCTCTTATTTTGTGCCAGTCTCTGACATAAACACTATACATATATATATATATATATAAAATATAAAATATATATATAAAATATATAAAATATATATATAAAATATATATATATAATATAAAATATATATATAATTTAATTCCCTCAACAATTCAAGATTCAGATTTTGTTGTTAGTGTTGCTTTTTTTTTCATTGTAATTGTGTAGAGGAAGAAGTAATTTTCCCTAGGTTATACAATGAGTGGACCCAAGATTTGAACCTATTCAGCCTTTCTCTGAAGTGTGGCATTTACTATCCTGTAGTAATGTACCTAGTCATTTTTTTAATATAAGTTCTCCTATCTTTCCTTTCTAAATGCTCTTCTGATATCTACTCTCATTTATCTACCTATTAATAATACATGTCAAAACTTTGGTAATACTTTATACTTATCATAAAAAGCTATCACATTCATTCAATTTTGAATTCAATTTACATTCAATATTTGTGAATATAATGTATATACATGCATATGTGTTTGTGTACAGACGTGTGTGTATGCATGTGTGTATATGTGACATATATACACATACATGATCTGTGTTTATATATACACACATATATAATAAATGTATAAATGTATATATGTGCCAAATTGGCTAATATATATACACGCATGTATATATAATAAATATATAAATGTATATATGTGTCAAATTGGCTGAAGATTATGTGAAAATTAGATTATATTTTATTATAATAATTTTATTGAATTGTGGACTGAATTGTACCCCTCACCTCCAAATTTACATATTGAAGCCATAACCTGCAAAATGACTGTACTTGGAGACAGAGGAAATTAAAGTTAAATAAGTAAAAAAAGAAAGGTGGGACCCTGATCCAATACGGCAAGTGTCTTTATAAGAAAAGAAAGAGACACAGAAGTGACACACACGGAGGATGAACCATGTGAGGACACAGTGGGAAGAATCTGCAAGCCTTAGGGAGAGGCTTCAGGAGAAGCTAAACCTGCTGACACATTGATCTTGTACTTCCAGCCTCCAGAACTATAGAAAAGTAAATTCTGTTGTTTAAGTTATCCAGTATGTGGTATTTTCTTATGGGAACCCTAGTAGATGAACACAGTTTCTATTGCAATAAAATGCCTTTTGCAAATGCTTGATAACTTTATGATAATAGAGGGAAATGATAAATGAGATTAATCTTTACATTTCAGTGTGAGAGTTTGTACTAGAGTACAGAGGAGGACTCTGAAACCAAGTCTCAGTTCAGGAAAACCGTGCCGTAAATGTTGATTACATATCCACTGGCATGAAAGTTGTGGATGTCAGCACAGATGAGCATATTTGTTATATCTAACTTATTTTATAGTCAATATGTTTTAAGTAGTCTCAAATCTAAAATGCCAAGTATCTGTTTGTCCTTAAGGATGTCAATGAAATATTGTATGTTTATCTACTGACATTTGTGTTCCACAAGGCTCTAAAATAGAGCCCAGTACCTAAAAAAGTCAAAATACTTGGTAGGTAGAGTACTGTTAAGAGGCTCTGGTGTGTTTGTCCTTGGTAATTAAAAGAGATTTAGGAGCATATTATTTACTACAGGTTATAATTTAGTATGATTACTGCCACCTTTATCACACAGATTTTGATGAAAATGAATATAATCCTACAAGATTTCATTTGGCTTTTATGATAACATGAATAACATGATAATATGCAAGCTGAAAGTAAGAAATCCATTAAAATCGCACTTACGGGAGAATAGATTTATCATGATGAAAATCCCAAGGGCTTCCTCCTGGGCTCTGGTCTCTCTTTTACTCTCCTGAAATAATCATACCTATTCCAAGAATCAGACATTATCATCCCCAGTCATATTTCTTTTCTAACTCTAGACTTATATATTGAACTTTCTACATGACATTTCTACTTTGCAGTCACAGAGGCAATTCAAACTTTGTATTTAAAAAATTGAAATCCTGATTTTATCCAACGACACCACTGTCCATTTATTCAGCTTCACCTTGTCCATTTCCCCTATGTTAGAAATGGCACTTGCATTTACCAAGTTGCTCAAGCTGAAAACATGGTTTATCTTTAATTATCCACCTCTCTTACCCAATCCATTGCATTTCTACCCCATTAAAAAATAAAGAAAAATAATAAATGGAGGAATACATATCAGTCATTGGCAAGTAAATGAACTATTTATAAGGATTTAATTAAATTACCTGGTGTTGTTCCAACAGAATAGAACTAAAGATAAATATATTAAAATTAAAGAAAATTTGGAATGAAAGAGCTAGAGCATCTATACCATTAGTAAGGCATTTAGTAGGGGTGCTAGGGATATGTTTGCAAAGGAATTTCTGTACACTAGGCATTATGAGCATTGGAGAAGTTAAAAGAGGAACTGAGATACTCTGAAAACTTCAAATGCTTCGCATGTTCTGGAAGTAGTTCATGACAATAATAAAAAATATGAAGTCATTTTTTAAATTTAGTATCATCTAAAATATTTTATTTTACTGATATAATTAGCACACTTTGAACTCTTGAGAAATGTTTCCATATAATCTTATTCACACTGATCTATTACAGCCTTATGTGTCAGTCTACTTGGCAAAATTGTGAAACCACAAGTTAAGCACTAGAAGACTTGGAAGAATCTCATACAGCTGTTTTTTTTTAATGTAAATCTAAATAATTGTCATTTAAATTATCTTTAAGTGTCATTTAAACCGAGAAGGTTATGTTTGTGAATCCATCATAGAGATATGAAATTCAGGCTTCCCTGTATAAGGGAAGGCAAAAGTACTGATAATCTTAGTGTTGTATTAAGAAGGCTTTTCTCTCACAAATATATTCAGTCTTAAAAAGCATATATTTCAAATTCTTCTGCCTCCCCACACAATGTTATATATAGCTCTGCAATATAATGTATTCAACTCACGATATTATAGTCCTTAAAGGTCAGTGTAGCTGATTAGGCACTCTTTCCTGTATCCCAGCCATCACCTCTCTCACTTCCCACATCAGACTGAAATGGCAGAAACCCAAGTACATCAGAAAGAATCAAATCTCCCACAGAAGCCGTGAATGGGAGTGATTTTAACACCATGATTTTATTATAAACAGACTAGAAATTGCATCAACAATTTTCTGACAATAGTTTTCTTGATAAAAATTTTATACAACATAGTGTCTGTCATCTGACCCTGACCTCCAACCATGGCTTTTAACTTTGAAATGTTTCCCAGCATCTCAAACTTCTCAGTAATATATACATTTTTAAAGCATTAAAACAAACATGAACAAAGCAGTCTCTTTCCTCTTTCATTCATGAAAGCAGCTGTGGCGAAGTGGAAAGGGCACAAGCTACTTTCAAGACCTGAACCTGCATCTCAGCATAGTCCCTTCATAACCATGTGCCCTTCTCCAAGGAGCCTTGGTATCTCCACCTGTGTCATGGATCTAATGAGAATCTCACTTCACAGAGCTGTTGGCAAGCTGTGGGGATCAAAAGGAACTATGGTCATGAAAGTGGTTTAGACACTGTATATGAGATGTGGCACCATTAAAGGGACTATATGAGTGTGAGTTCTTATTAGAATTGTGTCTCATGGCATTGGAAGGAAATTATTCCTACACTTCCTGTTTAATATGTTAAATATTCACCACATAACCCCACACCCAAGGAGGATGTACTATAGACAAAAATGGCAATATTAAAGCAAATCTTATATATCTTGGTTTTATTGATAAGGGGAAGAACAATATAATTTTTAGATAAAACAATACATTATGATATGAACAAAACTTTTGCTATAAACATCTGCAAGATATTTGTCCCTGAGCTCAAATCTTGACACTGCCATTAGCTGTCTGTGATTTCTGGCATGACCATCAAGCCCCGAGTCAAAACATATTCTGATTTTGGAGCACAAATGCTACTTATGAGTCAAGGTTATGATAAATTTGAAGATGATGCTGTTAAATTTTGATATATAATTAGTTCTAATTTCACAGTAACTAGCATTATTTTACATGGAGTCATAGGTAACATTTTTTTTTCCCACAGAATCCCATTGTCCTCAGAAGGGATACTATTATTAAAGTGAGTTTGTAGTTATTTTACACAAATCTGAATATTGTTCAATTTAACTGGTTATAACATGACATGTTAAAATAGACATGTTAAATAGTCATGACATGTTAAATAGCATAATCTACAATCACCAAACAGTTTGATGATTCTATTTGTGGAAATAAACACATTTTCTTCTCATATTAACATGTTATTTCTTGCACACGCACACACACACACACACACACAAACAACCATGCATGCGTACTTGTACTTGACCAATCAGCCTTGATAACCATATAAGATTTTAACATATATTCTTTACATTGCATCAATTTAACATTGAATTCAGAATTACATTGGGTACTAGAATAACAAACTCAGTTCTGGGGCTAATTTTTTAAAAATGTTTTAACAATGCTAATATATGCCAAGGTAGATGCTTCTACATAGCCTGAATATTTTGATACTTAAAAAATGTTGAAAAAGTTACTGTATTAGCAATTTCAACATTCCAATATGTTAGAATAGGTATAATTCTGCTTAAGTTAAAACACATGCTTTAAGAAAACATGATCGATTCTGAGAACTAAGTATACTGTTTCTCACATCACACAATTATTGTGTTAAATAATGATTCAAGAAACAATTCTCAGAACTGTAGAAAGTTATTTACATAATATTTTACATAACAAACTTCTCATGAGAAATGAGAATATTAAAATTTCAAAAGTACAGTCACAGCAAGGGATAGGCAAGGCATGAAGATAAATCAAATCCTATTTTTTTTTGCCATGCTGTGAAAAGACTGCTGGCTTTTAATCATCCTGATGTGCCATATGTAAATTCTATCAAAAAAGAAGTTTGGTAAATGTTATATTACAAAACCACAGGGAGCAAAGCTATTTATAAACATCAATTAAATATATATATATAATAGTCTAAAGTCATTAATAATATTCTCCTAATCTGGCTATACATATCTCTCATATTTACTTAATCTTCCCTTTATTTTTGATTGCAAACAACAAATCTCTGAATTACCAGATGTCTGCTTACACACTCCTAGTTTACTCAAGGTCACTACAAAGATTCTCAGTGAAAAGGCTGCAAAGCCTCCTTGTTAAGTAATCCAGTGAAAAGAAAATGCAAGTCAGAACCACCTCAGAGTAAATATCTTATGAAAAACTTAGAGTAATCAATGAGAAATAAGAACCATTCCTAACAAAGCCTGAAAATAATAAATGTCATTTTTTATTTAAAACAAAGAAAAAGAAAAAAACAATACTATATTTAATAGTACCAAAAATTTAAAAAGGCTAATCTTTAACATAAACATCATTTTTTTTTTAGAAAAAGGAATATTTAGCTCCTCAGATATGATCAAGCCAATTAGAATGATTTAATATACTTTCTTTGTTATTGGTCTATTCAGTGTTTCTTTTGAATTTCTCCTTCCTAACGAATCTCAGGTATGAGCTATCCTTTCTCACATACCTGAGATTCTAGCTTTGAATATCTTTTATTTTTCTAATCTTCTCTTCAACTTTTCTTATATTTTAATAGTCTTTAAATTAGTGTTTCTCTTCTATCAGTTAATCCCTTAAACACACAATGACTTTATTTCCTTTCCATATGTTTTCTTTCTTTCTAAATACCCCTAGACTTCCTACTGGTCTGTGAATCCCCTAATACTATATATTTTTTCATGTGCTACAATTTCCTATGGCATTGCTGGGACAAACAAGACTCCCAAAGTTTTATTCTCTTTAATAAACCATCCTGTTACACCAGAAGAACCATATGCAGACACAAGTCTACAGCCTAAAATACTATTCCTTCTACACACAGCATTACCATACGACAGCTACCTGATCTACAGGGTTGCTCTGCTCAAGGCTTCCTTTTTTCATCTAACCATGCTAATTTCCCTTCAGTGGCTTCCAGGAATAAATTCTCGCCTGCAGTGTCATGCTGTACATTTCCCCTTTCCCTAAAGCTGAGAGTCAGTGGACAGAAGGAACAGAAGCTGCTTTGAAAAGAGGAAATATGGCATCCTACCAGGGAGACACACAGCACCAAATATCACAGGGGTAGACAACATAATTATCCTTATCATTCCCCATGACCAAAGGCAATGACAAGAGGAAACAAACTCCTTCAAAGGGGATGGCATCATGTTAGATACAAGGAGTTGCCACAAAAAAGATACTTGCAAAGCAATGTTTTATTTATAGTGTACCTCAGCCTTGCAAACAGAGCTTGTCTAATTCAAAAACTACTGCAAACCACATAGAAAATGAAATCAACGTTCCCAGATGTTTATTTTAGATGGACAATTTTATTATTAAGAGTCTGTTACTTAGGGCCCATGGAGGCGTTGGAAACAGAGAGTTCCAAACCTCCAACATATTCTGTATTCATATGTGCATAAAGTGAATCCTGTCATATCCACCTTCTGATTAGGAGAAATTTAATGCTTCAGTTCTTTGTAATGTTTGTTGTTTTGTTATAACTGGTGTGTAGATTGAATGGCAGGTGACATTTCATAAGATTTAAATAAGGTAAGAAATTAATCAAATTAACATACTGCTTTTCTAAAGTATAATGAGTCATTTGCATATAAAGTGCAATCGAGTCTGTAAATACAAAATGAACTCAAATTACTGAGTAACATCGTGAACTGCATTTGTCACATATTATGAAACAGACATGAAGAAAAGAGCACGTAAATATTTCCAGTTCCAAACTGATTTTTGATACATTTTGTGGCTGTAATGTCAGGCCTATCCACTGTAACACTCAGCATTCCCAAAATTTATAGAGATTATGACTTCAGTTTGACATAAACAACAAAAGTAGCCACTCATTGCAATCATTTTCTTACCTGAATCTGAAAAAGCACTTAAGGCTAGCACACTGCAAAGAGAGCTTGAGATAGAAGATAGAGACCTTGAAACAAATTTATGCAAAACATAAATTACATGAAAATTAAAAGAATGGGAAACAAAGGTCAAGAGCTATTCACCTTAATAGCCCTTAAAAATGCACTTTAGACAATAGCCTAGATATGGGGCCAGCAGATGTCTTTTGCAAAGGGCCAGATAGTAAATATTTTAGATTTTGTGGGAGGTATATGTTACAAGTATTCAACTCTGCCACTGTATAGTAAAGCAGTCTTAGATAATACTGAACAGAAGAGTGTGACTGTGTTGCAATAATTCTTTATTCACAATAATAGGCAGTGGGCTAGATTTGGCCAATGGGCCATAACTTACCAACATCATCTCTAGAATAGGGCTGTCCTTTAGAACGTTCTCTGATGATGGAAATAGTTGGTCTACAAGACTATAGAGGACTCGAAATATGGCTAGTATAAATGAGGAGGTGGATATTTAATATGTTTTATTTTAACTAAGTTACATTCTGATTTAAATAGCTACATCTGGTCAGTAGCTACTTTACTGAACAGTACTGTCTTAGATGGTTTCATATGACAGCAATAAGTAAATGGCAAGAGTTAAGGGAAACATTAACATTCCAAGAAATGAATTGCTGTAAAGATATCAGACATCGCAAATTTCAACAAATGCTGTTTAAACTTAAAAAAAAATTATTATTTTCCTAAGTGGATGGTGAACTTTTTTCTAAAGAATACAAAAAGGAAAATATCAACATATGCTACACATCTGAGTAAATATGGAGATTTCAGATTTCCTAGGGTTGCACCATAATGTCATTTTGCATCTTAGCTTCTTTGACTATGGCATTTCTAAATGATAAGTTTAGAATATTTTACAGTAGTAAAATATTCTGTAGAATATGTAAAATAGCCTGTCTGTGGAAAGGCTTGCTCTTTCCCTAGAATTTAAAGACTTACTCCAAATTAAGCATTGACCAGAATTTAAACTAACTTCCGGCATCCAGATGGCCTCCATGGTGCATGGCTTCTGAACTGGCTAAAGATCAAACTCACCTTCTGCTTCCTGTTCTGTCTCTAAGCTGGCCCTTGATTCTAGCTAATAACTTTCCACTGTAATAATTTCTTTCATGCCCTATTCGCTCTGTTTCTGTCTAGATTCACAGGGTTTTACTTATTTTAGGAGAAAAATACTTGGAACAGTCACCATGATTCTATTTGAAAATAAATGATTTATTTTAAGAGAAATTATATGACATCCTGTCTTAATGACACTTGCCATTTGAATAAAGTTTGTGTAAGCCAAATTTTCATTAATTTCCTAAATTTCGATAAAATCTCAGAAAATCTGTGTTTTGCTACACACAGACTTTTGCCTCCTCAGAAATATTTTAAAAATTGGTTTTCAGTTAGGTATCAATATTGGGCATTTTAAAGTATGCATAATAGTTTCACATATAAATCAGTTACCAATATCACCTGCTGTGCTATAGATTCCTGCATCAAAAAAGACTACCTCTATTCTTATGTTTGACATCATATAACAGAACATATATAATTTGCTTATAAAGGAAATTACATAGACCAAGTTGCCTAGGTGATTCATTCAGGTATGGCCAACACACAAAGAACCAGCTTCAGTGAGATTTTCATGTTGTCTTTAGCTTTTATTTTAAGTTTAGGGATAGATGTACAGGTTTGTTACATAGGTAAACTTGTGTCATGGGGGTTTACTGTAAAGACTGTTTAAACACCCAAGTATTAAGTCTTGTACCCATTAGTTATTTTTCCTGATCAACTACCTCCTCCCACCTCCCACCCTCCAAGAGGCCCTGTGTATTGTTCCCATCTATGTGTCCATGACTCCTCATCATCTAGCTCCCACTTACAAGTGAGAACATGTGGTATTTGGTTTTCCGTTCCTGCATTAGTTTGCTAAGGATAATGACCTCCAGCTCCATCCATGTCCCTGCAAAGGACATTATCTCATTTTTTATGGCTGCATAGTATTCCATGGCATATATGTACCACATTTTCTTTATCCAGTCTATCACTGATGGGCATTTAGGTTGAGTTCATGTATTTGTTATTATGAAGTGCTGAAATGAACATATGCATGCATTTATCTTTATAATAGAACGATTTATAGTCCTTTGGGTACATACCAGGTAATGGAATTGTGGGTGGCAATATTGCTAGAAGAGCCAATGAAATACAATTTCTCCTGCCATTTGCCACCACACACTGATGCTTTTATTTTTAGGATTGTTGAGTAATTTTCCGTTATGAGTTTTGAGTAACTAGAGTGGAGTGGAGTGAACTAGTAAAGGACTGTAGCTCACAAATAGTGATTTATTTTACTGGGGTATTTAAAGATATTTAAAATACAAATACTGTGTGAAATACAATTAAAATTTAAAGAAAGAACAAAAGATAAAAAAAATTTGCTCCAGGGGACAGAAATGTCATACATGTGCTTAAGGAGATAGTGCTTTTCTCAATTTAAAAAATTTCAAGTCAACAATAACAAGTACTTTGAATTATTTCAGTTTGAGGAGGGAGAATACTGCCTGCAGTTTCCTCAATACTGCCATCAAAACATTTCCTGCAACACTATTTTTATTTTTTTATTATTATTATTATTTTTGAGACGGAGTCTCGCTCTGTCGCCCAGGCTAGAGTGCAATGGCGGGATCTCGGCTCACTGCAAGCTCCGCCTCCTGGGTTCACGCCATTCTCCTGCCTCAGCCTCCAGAGTCGCTGGGACTACAGGCTCCCGCCACCACGCCTGGCTAATTTTTTGCATTGTTAGTATAGACGGGGTTTCACCGTGTTTGCCAGGATGGTCTCCATCTCCTGACCTCGTGAACTGCCCGCCTTGGCCTCCCAAAGTGCTGGGATTACAGGCGTGAGCCACCGCACCTGGACTTTTTTATTTGTTAAATATTAAAACATAACCATGTACCATTTAAAAAACATTGAAATGGGGATTATCACAAGCAATTAGAGGATGGATTTATGAAGAAAGCCAATTTTGTTTGATTTCATATACTTTTTTATTTTTCTACCTTTATTTCGTTTATTTATAGATCATGGGTATATTTTTAGACTGGGGGAAAATAACTTTCTATAAAAGGATATGTATTTTCCTAGATACTTTTATCATTGGATATAACATTTAGGAGGAGAGGGCAAAAAAACAGAGGCTGGAAAAACCAGAGAGTTGCAAATAAACACAGGAGGAATGTTGGTGAACATACTCTTGCAAATGTTAGAGCCACTCAAAATAAAAATATCCATTTGAGGAAAATCAAACACTAGTATGTATTATTTTACACTTTTTTAACCTCTTTGGCTTATACCTTTATACTCACTCTTCAAGTGGCAAGTCATCCCCAGACTACAGACACTAACATCTCCAAATAATTTATCACAGTTCATACTGTCAAAAAAATAAACTGCTTACACTGAAACAACCACCATCTCAACCCAAATAAGTGTCTTTATGTCTCCTTGGGTCTCATTTTCAGAGGTGAGTGAAAGGTGTTATAATTATTCTCCAACTTACTGAAATCAAAAAATTAATGACAAATTTAGCTAGGAACTTGTGAGGGGAAAAATATAAATGAATCAAAATAATAATGATTCTGACAAAAACTGAAGAGCTGCTCTTATAAGGCATTTATGATTTTAGTAGAAGGATATTCAGTGAATCGGGTTCACAGGTAAAAACCAATGCTAAGTCGTGAATGGAAACTGAAGGTAAACAACAGATACTGAGTAGAAGCTTTCATACACAATTTTCAAAGTATTCTGATGGAGAGGGTATTTTAAAACTCATGTTACAGACAAGAAATCTGAGTTTTGGGAATATTAAGGAACCCCCTGACATTCCACAATAATGAATTTTGTGTGTGTGTGTGTGTGTGTGTGTGTGTGTGTGTGTGTGTGTGTGTATTTTTACATAAACCACTTGATTTTGAAGACCACATAATTTTAATTGCTAAGACACAATCTTTTCTTTTAATCATGCTTTTACCTACCAATAAGAATGTATTAGGTGCCTTCTATGTGCCATACTTGGCTAGATGCTAAGATTGTAATGGTAAACAAACATGGTCCCTATCTGTATTAATCCATTCTCACACTGCTATAAAGATATTACCCAAGACTGGGTAATTTATATAGAAAAGTGGGCCGGGCGCAGTGGCTCACGCCTGTAATCCCAGCACTTTGGGAGGCCAAGGAGGGTGGATCATGAAGTCAGGAGATTGAGACCATCCTGGCTAACACGGTGAAACCCCGTCTCTACTGAAAATACAAAAATTAGCAGGGTGTGGTGGCGGGCGCCTGTAGTCCCAGCGACTTGGGAGGCTGAGGCAGGAGAATGGCGTGAACCCGGGAGGCGGAGCTCGCAGTGAGCCGAGATCGCGCCACTGCACTCCAGCCTGGGCGACAGAGTGAGACTCCGTCTCAAAAAAAAAAAAAAAAAAAAAAAAAACGGAGAAAAGAAGTCTAACTGACTCACAGTTCCACATTTCCACATGGCTGCGAAGGCCTCTGGGAGTTTACAATCATGGCGGTAGAGGAAGAGACATGTCTTATGTGGCGGCAGGTATTTCAGAGCAAGCAAGTGTGTGAAAAAGGAACTGTCAGACACTTTTATAAAACCATCAGATCTCATGCAAATTCACTCACTATCATGAGAACAGTATGGGGGGCACTGTTTTCATGATCCAATCACCTCCCACTAAGTCTCTTCCTTGGCACATGGCGATTATGGGGATTACAATTCAAGATGAAATTTGAGTGGGGACACAAAGCCTAACCATATCACTACCCCATTGGCATTTACCAGGTGGGATAAAAATTATTACATAGATAAGTGCTATGAAGGAAAAAAGTAAGTTGTTAACAGAAAAAATAAGAGAGGGATTTAATTTATAAGATATTGAAATTCAGAAAGAATGTCTCTAGAAAATAACATCGGAGCAGGTACCTGAAGATGAATTAACCAGAAGAGTGAATCTGAGTATCATAGGTAGAAGGAATAAAACTGCACCCAGAGGCCCGGATAGTGGAAATACGTTCCAAATGCTGAGGGCAGGTAAATGCATAGAGCAAGCAGTGACGGAGAGGATGGGGCTCCACATGATGCTTCAGTGGTGGCAGCTGGAGGTCAGAGACAAGGTAGACCATGTTTTAATTTTATTGCAATGAGTAATCGTTGAAGAGTTTCAAAGAGAGAGCCAAGATGATCAGAGGCTATAAAACTTATGGTTTTAAGTATAATCATTCTAGCAATTATGGTCTCACATATAGTGAGTATACTAAAAGAGCAACAAGGTCTTTCATATGCTGGGAATTAATTAAATCATTGGCAGAAGCAATCAATGGATATAAGATAAGACTGGCAGCTGTCTCTGCTCTGGCTCAAAATGCATGTATCCAAATGTCACCTTACCTACTGCTTAATTATTTCTTCAAGCTTGGGAAAGCCACAGAAGCATGAAGATGTCAACTTTAAGGGATAACTGCAGGTGTACTTAGCAAAGACCCAATCGCTAAGTGCTCAAAATACCTTTCTAGTCAGCTAGGTATAGAGTGCAATTCAGTCAGAAATTCCAGGTTTAGACTTAAGTTCTCATCTCTTTATCTCAGAAGGCAGCAAAGACTGGTCTTGACACTCATTATCAACTCTTATTTTATATCTGACCTTGACCACATAATTCCATTTTTTTTCTGAACTTTAATTTCTTCATTTATAAAATGTTCTAATAATTCCTTTTCTGACAGGGTTGTTACATGACTAAATAAAGTGATACATGTAAAGTTTTCTAACTCCTAAAAATTGTTTAATAAAGCTAACTATTTCCAGGTTCAGTCCTCTTTCTATCAAAAAGAGAAATGTTTGGAAAGTAAATATTATTTATGATCACGGTTAAAGGAATTGGTTTTTGTTTATTTCATTGCTTTGATTTTTTCTGAGAGAAGATTTTGGATAAGAAAGAAATAAACAACACTAGTAGTGACTCTCTAAATCTGGGATTAGTGTAGAAGTACATAAAATGGAGGCACCAATGTCAACATTTTGCCTCTGGTATGCTTTTAACCAAGTGAATCTTTATTTGTATACTATAGCAGTACTACTCACTGCAATAGTAACAGTATTAGTATTATCTGCAGCAGTAGTCATAGCTAACTTTTACCTGATAAATATTACATGCCAGACTTATCAGTGTAGCTATGGTTAGAAGAGGGTTATGCTTACGCCATAATGAAGACTGAAAAGTAAGTACATTGACTACTTTCATTTAATTTGTAAGAAGATTGGAACACAAAGAGGTTAAACAATATTGTCGAGTGTCATGCAGTTATTTGCTGAAAGAGCTGGGATTTGAACCCAGAAAGCTTACTCCACATTTTGAAGTCATAGTTACTAAACTATAAAGAGAAAACAGTAAGATTTTATGTGTGCACGTGTGCATGTGAGTGTGCGTGAGTATGCTGATGTTTCTCCCATTGTTACTCTTGAACTAAGCTACTTTAGGATTTTTCCCTCAGAAAACCACATAGGTAAGCAGAGCAGCAAACTGATGTGTGGCACTTAGGATGTCTGTGATAATGACAACAGGAAGGGGACAGAAGAGGTTCCTGAGGAGAGAAATATGAAGAAGCAGCAAGAGAGATCCCTGAGAGCTTGGTTAGTGGGAAAATGTATAAACTTGAAAGGTGATTTCTGTGCTTGCGAGATGGTGGCAAAAGTGATCTTTGTCCCTAAGTGCAGATGGAAGACACAGAGTCAGACTGAGAAATCCAGTCTTAAACATCATATATAAGCAATGAATTGTTAAAACATTTTTACTAAATAATACTTGACAGAAAAGAAGATAGACTGAACTCAAAATAGACTAAAAGAAAGGTCATACTAAAAGAGCATAAAATACTACTCTTTGGAGAAAAAATGCAATCCTCGTTATAATGATTCAGAGTATTGTTAATGCAAAGCATTTTAAAATATTAACATAAAATAGCAGGATGTGATTTTAAGAGTAGTTATGGCATTTGCCAGGCTTCTGAAATGCTGCTTTTTCGACATTGTCAATTTGTATTATGCATAACAGAAATTCATGTTATGTTATAAAAACAACCAAAACATGCTGAATCAGAAACTAAAAAAGTGGTAGCTATTTCCTTATGGGTGTGCATTTTGATTTTTTTTTTCAGGTTACAACTAAGAGTCTTTTGAGATGTCATTGTCAAAAACAATATCTTAAGGAAAATAATGATAATTTATCTCATATATAGTGTGTAGAAAATGAATTTCACTTATTCAGAAATGCATGTTGAATATTTACCATTTTATAGAGTTTGTAGAAGTAATAGTACATAACTACAGACTCCACAGAATTTTTTCTTTCTTTGTTTTGGAGAGAGTGTCTTGCTCTGTCGCCCAGGCTAGAGTGCAGTGACATGATCATAGCTCACTGTAGGCTCCAACTCTCCAACTCCTGGTCTCAAATAAGCCTCTCACCTTGGCATCCTGAGTAGATGGAAGTATAGACATGATGCCACCTCACCCAGCTCATTTTTAAATATTTTGTAGAGACCATGTCTCCAAAGATTCCCAGTCTGGTCTCAAATTTCTCACTGCAAGCTATCCTACTTTCCTGGCATCCCACGGTGCTGTGATTACAGGTGTAAGACACCGTGCCTGGCCTCTATAGAACTGTAGATATAATTAGCACACAAAATAGCAAGTGTCTGTGAAGGATATGTGAAAATCTGGTATTTTGTCCATATTTCTAAAACTAAAATATACATTTAAATTATTTTACGACAAAGAAGCTTAATCCCTGCAGAAAGAGCGTTAAAAAATCACAGATTAAAACTGAATTGTGTTCAAATCCTAAACAAATTCTTACTCATTTTGTAAATTCAGCCATAATTATCTATTTTTGGATATTCAGTTCCCTTAGCTATAAAATGGGGATAATACTTGTATTTTTAGTTTTGATAGGGTAAATTATAACACATGATGATGTCTTGCACATATTAGGCATTCAGGTTCATACAAGTTGATATGAAATCTAACCCATTTTAGTAGAGAATAAAGCATTTTAGGGATCTAGTGTGAGCCACACAGTGTTTCATTTTTGGTCTTCAATAAAAACTTATAAGCTTGGAATTATTAATTCAGTTTTTTTATGTGAAGAAAATGAGTTTCAAATGGGCTGTATTATTTGTTCAGAGTCACAGGGATACATTCTTGGATTTTAATCCAGGTCATCTGACACAAGTCAGTGTTCCTCCTATTATATCGCATTCTTACATAGCATTACGCTTTTGTTTTGTTTTGTTGAAAACCTACTTCCATAATTCCTAGTATAAGGAGGCTTGGGATTTGAGAAGCTACATAACTGTGTGTGTGTATATTTGATATTGCCACATGAGATTTAAATTCCTGTTAGAACACTTGCAAAAAATCACTACATAAAGAACTACTCTCCTCTTATTTTGGAAGGCCAAAATTTAATAAAAAGGACCAGATTTACCTTCCTACTAAACAAACAAAATATATGAAATGCCAGCTTTCAAAACACTTGTTGTAAGGAAATAAAGGACAGTGAGCCTTGAAAGATCAAAGACAAATGGGATGAGGTATAAAATTTCCAATTTACTATATTGAGAGAATTTTCAAGTTCCACTAGAGGAACAGGAAATCCAGGAGAGGCCTGGCTGACTCACGAGGTGGCTACAGTTCTTAGAACAGGGTGTCAGAGAGAAAAGATAATTGATTTTTTAAAATAAAAATGATAATGATACAGTGTAAGGTTTATAACTATGTAAAGGTAAAAAGAATGGCAATAATAGCACAAATACTAGGAGAGAAGGAGAAGTATGAAATTGTGGGTTATTTTTCTTTATATTAAGTGGCATAATATTAATTAAAAGTACAGTGTGACAAATCAAAGATGTAAACTATACATCTTAAAGCAACTACTAAAATACTTTAAAAGAGTTTCACTGATAAACCCAAAAAGCGATTTAAAAAGAGTCATAAATAGCAAATCCAAAAGAACGCAAAAAAGAAGAAAATGGGAACAGAGAATAAATTAAGTTGACACATCAAAATAAGAAGATGATAAACTTAACCAAATAAATAATCATATTAGGTAGGAATGATTAAAAACCAAAGATTGTCCTAGTTAAGAGACAATGATTATCACATTGATAAAAATCAGGACCTAACTAACTATATGCTGCCTCCAAGGAACATATTTCAACTATAAAGACACAAATAGGATAAACTAAGACACAGCACACTACCACTAATAGAAGAAAGCTGGAAATAGTCACGACCAAGAATAACCTGAGGACATATGACTACTAAATATAATGTCAGCATCTTGGCTGTCATTCTGGAACAGGAAAATAGCACTAGATTAAAACTAAAGATCTGAATATAGCATGGGCTTTAGTTGAAAATAACCTAGCATGATTGGTTTACTGATTGTAAGAGATGTGACATATTAATGGTAGATGTAAATAACAGAAGAAATTGGATGCTGAATACATGAGGATTCTCCATTCAATCTTTGAATTTTTTCTGTAAATCTAAAACTATTTTAATATGTAAAACTTTATGTTTTATTTTTTAATTTTTTACTATACTTTAAGCTCTGGGATACACGTGCAGAACGTGCAGGTTTGTTACCTAGGTATACAGGTGCCATTGTGGTTTGCCGCACCCATCAGCCTGTCATCTACGTTATGTATTTCTCCTAATGCTATCCCTCCCCTAGCCCCCTACCACCTGGCAGGCCCTGATGTGTGATGTTCCACTCCCAAGGAAAGAAACATGAAGTAACTATATCAATATCAGGCAAAATAGGTTTCAAAACAATAAATACTACCATGAATGAAGAATATAATCTCTTAATGCAGGTATCAGTTCATCAGGAGGACATAAAAACACTAAGGATTTACACATGTAATATTGAGCATGTGTATTGAGTGTAAGCTCAAATACATAAAGCAAAACTAATGGAACTCTAAGGAGGAATAGACAAATCCATAATCACAGTCTGAAAATTTAAAACTCCTTTGCCAATAATTGACAGAAAAAATTAAGATAATATCAGTAAAGATATAGTAGACTTGAGCAACCTTATCAACTAATTTAATCAAAATTTTGGGAATATGCCACCCAACAGCAGTAGATTATACATTCTTCCCAAGTACCTGTAAAACATTTATGAAGATAGAACACGTGCTAAGCCATACAACAAATTTTATTGAATTTAAAAAGATTCAAGTCATATAAAGTATATTCTTTGAACAATGGCAGAAAGTTTTTTAGTAATATCCAACTATTGAAAACTAAATAGCAAACATATAAATAACTAAATGAAAATGAAAAACAAGGTGTCACAATGGGTAAAATGCCAGTACTTAGGAATGGAGTTATAGCACTGAGTACATTCGTTAAAACATAAGAAAGGTCTCAAATCAATGACATCATTCATATTAAGAAACTAGAAAAAGAAGAAAAAATTATACACAAAAAATAGAATAATAAAGATCAGTGTGGAAATTAATAAAATAGAAAACAGGACAACAAAGATAATCAATGAAATAAAAAGCTGCCTCTTTGGGAAGGCTCATAAAATCCATCAAACTTTAGTCAATTTATTTTGGGGATGGTAACTCACAAAGGCAAGACATTCCTAGTTTGATTACAGGTAGAGCTCCTTGTGGATGATCTTCACAGTGTTTGATGATTTCCTTATAACTTGGAAGCATATGTACATCTTGACATTCACAAGGTCTGTCCCTAAATAATTAACAATATTTTAAATTTATCTCTGATTTAGACAACCAATGAATGATCAATTTATTTTTTTGTTGGGCTACAGTGTACAAATGCATCCCTACTTATTTTCTGTTTATTTAAAATAGATCAACAAAACTCTGTTTTATCCATGCATTCAATTTTTCCTCTCTATGGATATACCTTTTTCATTATAGACCCCATATTGTTCTATACTTTAATAATGTGTTGCAGTAAAAAAGAAAGTAGTAAAATTGAAGATAATAAAATCAGTAAAAATGAAGTAAAAAGAAGATAATAAAATCAGTTTCCTATATAATGAATGAGACTCACTACTATTGATAAGTTATTATTATTTTCTTTTTTTACTGAGGATTGTTGTAATTGAAGCTCCAGAAAAAAATTTCAGATATCAAACAATTAGATACATATTTTGGAAAAGGAATCCTTTTCCTTGCCAATGGAAATTTACATGAGTTTTCCAGCCAAATATTTTCAGTTATCACTTTGATTGTTTAACATATACTTAAGCCCTTTATTTATATAATTATATTTTCCTGTTCAAACTGCCTTGAGTTATGTTTATTAACGAATTTTTACAAATGAAGAAAGAGATGCATAATTCATTTATCTTGCCCTAGCTTATGCACAAGTGATGACTCTGGGAATCCAAACTAGACACTCCTAACTCAAACTTCTGGGATGCAGCCTTCCTTCCTTTATCTCTGATTAGATTTGAAACAGAAATGTGTTTTGCCACTTATTAACTCACCATATATTGAAGGCTTTCTATTGCCAAGATGCTCTGCTTCAAGTGCAAGAAATAAATCAGGATGTGTGGGGATCTGCCCAAAGCCTTGTGTTACCTTCAAGTAGCTTACAGCTTGTAGGCAATATATACACACTAATGTAAATTTAATCTAGCAAATGTGTGGGGGTCTGATCAAAAGAAATATTTGTTGCTGTTTCCTCAAGTTTTCTTTTTTTTTTTTTTTTCTTGGAAAAGTAGGCTACAAATAATGTGGTCCTGTTTCTTGGTAGCAGCTGGGCTATAAAATTACATTGTGTTTCTTTCATTTCTCATACTAAATCCCTAATCATGGTGTTACCTGTGACCTCTCTTCTCTTTCTCCAAGAATTCCTGATGCTTGGGATACAGGAGCTATCAGCCCTGTGTCTTTCTATCACTCTGTAAACCCAAATTCCTCAGATTTGTATTTCTTGATACTTTCTCCCTTCCTATTTTAGACTTGAGAGTCAGTAAATGAGTATCTTCATTGCTCCTACAACAGGCAGCAAATTCACAAGCTTCTTGATTTCTTGGTGGAACAGAACAGAGAAACAGAATGGGATCCAAAAACAGTTAATATATGTGTTCTATGAACCTGTTTCTCTGGAACTACATTGTCCAGACTTGTTTATACTAATAACAATGACAATGAATTGCCATATGTAGTTTAAAAAGTCAATATTTGCTACATCACAATTTGACTACAGTATTAAGTTTCTGATCTTTATTTAATGGAATTACCTCTATGCTATAAAGAAATGGCAGAAATTGTCATTTATCTTACATCGACTTTGTGGGACGAACTGCATGAAGCATTTCTACAAACATGATTTAATTAACTCGCTTCAAATATAACAGAAAAAAGGTGAATTACCATCAGAAAAGGAAAAAATAAGTTTTGAAATATTTTCAGATTATTTTCAAAGTATTGTTAATCATTAATGTATTATTAATGTATAATTGGGCAAGGTGAATGAACAAACTAAAGGGAAGGCGAACAGGGAAGGGGACGGATAATATCGTGATGTATACTGCCTATCACCTAACAGAAAGTAAAACCTGAATGAATGAACAGAATAGTGAAGTGAGAAGAGATTAGTGGGATGAAATAGCTAAGACTTCTACAAAAATACAAAGGAAACAAAAATAAATACTGTCTTTGACATTAGAGGGTTATTTCCCCAAACCCATAAGCATTCCCTCAGAGACCTGTGAAAATCTTTTGCTAGCTAGCACGCCCCAGAAAAGCGACTGGTACTGCTCTGGACTCTCATTTCTGAGGGAGAGGGCAGAATCCCATCAGTAAGTGTGGTTCAGTGCAGCATTCATTTTCAGCTACTGAGTATCACCACCAAGAATACACAAAAAGTGCTTTCTATGTCCTTTTCGATTCTCACTGATTTCGAGTGACCTTCCGTAAATCTCTTAAATTCTCTGCCACAATTCCCTCACCCGTCAAATGTGAACGAATTCAATAAACTCACGGAATATGTAAATTAGCTACAGGGTTTTAAATTTTCTGCAGAAGATTGGTTATCTTAAATGCCCATTGTGTCTTAAATAATAATTAAGGGGCTTTAAAAATCCATTTTGCTTACTTTTGTTAATCTTTAATTACTTTTCATTTTCCAAATATTCACTTACAGAAAAGAATTGCTTTCAGGGAGAATCACATGCTTACAATCATGAAAGCAAACAAATCCTAAACAGTGCTGTTTCAGTAAACAAAGACGCAAACATAAAAGAGTGACCTAATCATCTCACTTAAATGCAAATGATATCGATAAGCGTATAGCCGTAAGTAGCTGATAGCACTGAGTGTAAAAACATAGTTAGCTTAGATCTATGAAGCTTTCATACATGGATATGTAATTCTTCTGGGGAAAAAGAGGCCATTTATTCAGTTATATAATGGATTTGCCTAAAATCAAGGAAAATAATAAAAATATATTACTGTGGCACATCCAAAGCTGAGGTGAGAATGCAAACAATCACAGAAATCTGTTCTAAAATAGCTGCTTTATTCCTAGAGTTTCATTTTTGAGGAAAAGTGGATTTACATAGGCTTTCTCTAAACAATTGCGTTCATTTTTACTTTGCTGAAGACGAATTAAGAAAAGTAGATCACTGAATAATTTTATGAGTTTACATAGGAAATCAGATGGTGTATCATGTAACTTCATGGCAATACTCATTTTTGTAGGTAAGTTATGTTGTACCACATTTTGTTTTATGGAATAGCATAAATTCTCACTGGAAACTGGCCATACTCAAGCTATCCTGATTATCACAGTTTAGTATACTAAGAAGCCATTCCAAAAACTTTTCCACCATGAAAAACAATACAATCCACCCCTTAATCTGCAATAATTTGGAATTAAACTCAGTTATTACTTAAAAACATGCATGTCCAAAAATACCTAGTTCAAATTTGCCCAGGTTCACTTTCATTTTTTTAATTAATGTATTTCTTTAAATAAATTTCTTAAGACAACCAGACAAATTTGTATTACTTTTTCCTCTCTGATATAAGCTAGAGATGACTGATAAATGTCTAATAGAAGATGAATCTATATAAACATCCAAATAGTTTCCTACAGCTATGACTCAAATAGGAAAGTGGCAATATTTTTTCTTCCTAAAAATATAATTGCAAGAATGCATTGACGCAATGCAAATAAAGTTTCTGTATCACAGTACATGGCACAGAGTAAGTGCTTAAAACATTATTTTCCTTCTTAGTAGTTATAAAAATTCAGAATTAGCATTGTACACATGGACTAAAATATTAATATATTTAGATATATATGCAGAAATCAACATATTTTGATCAGTTAGTGTGAAAATGTTTTCTTTACATTTGTGTTTCTTATATACTAAATAAAATAAATATTTTATATACATGACAATTTTCAATAAACAATATATAATAATCTGTATGCTACTTTTTTTAAAAGGACACTTTTTATGAAAATCCTTGTGAATTACATATGTAAATAATTCACAGATGATATTGTTCACTTTGAGTTCTAAACGAAAGAGTTGAAGTTTACCTCTGTAACAATGTCCTTTAATCAATCATAAACAATAATAAGCATATTATGCATATGAAATTAAAATGAATTAACATACTGATATTTTATAATAGTCTCCAGGGACAATAGTACTGTTGGTAGATTTTAGTGCATCTGATTGAGAAAATTAATGTTAATTGTTAATAAAAATACACATTCTGTTTTGCAACATATTTCACACTTTTTACTCAGTGGAGTGGAATCTTTCCTCATCAAGCAATCTCCTTACAAATTCGGTGGGTATAAAGATAAAATAAAACCTCTACGGGATTGCTTTCTCTAACTTGTATTCATATATTTAAAATAGTACCAGGAACTTTGCCAAAGTATTCACTATTTCTTCCGAATAGAAAATCAATGTAGCTGCGGGTTTACTTTAACTCTATAATTAACTCAATGTCATTTCTGTGTTTATATTGCATTGTAGTCATTAGCTTACAGTCCAAGCTCTTCTTAGAACTTTACTTACTAAAACATGTAAAAAGTTGATGTCGTGTTTATTAATATTATAATGAGTCAGGTTAAAATGACAAAAATGCTTCATTACACTAGCAAAATATAAGCCATACGATATTGGCTTTTTACAATGAATATGTTGGGTAAGTATTATTCCAATATAAACAAAAGAAACTAAACCACAGATCTAATTAGTGGAAGAACCAGGTTATATAATACAAATATTGATTTATGATTGCTATAACGATATAATTGAGTAAGTAATTGGCTGAGAATAAAATCCAATATGATTTTACAAAAGAAATAAGATTAAAAATAAAAAAACTAAGCATGACTTCGAGGGAAATATATCGCTCAAGTACATATTTATTTTGTATTCTTTACTTTGTAAAGGATTATCAAATATATATTACTGCTATAGTTGTCTAAGAAAGGCAAAAACGGGGTGCTTGTGCTACTACCTCCCTACTGCCATCATTTCCAAACAAGCGAGAATGTGGACTTGAAATGAATTAGAGATGAAAGTAATGACAAATGTATGCTCTGCCTAAACTAGACAATTTGTGTAATGCTCTATTATACATATATTTATAATTATTTACATTATACTATATTCCATGATTAAAGGGAATTAATAAAACAAATATGACTAGTCCTGAAGTACTCTGAAAAATATAGTATAACTTTCTTTTTTCAGGAATATGGTAGGCAGAATTCTAAAATGGCCCTGGTAGTAGGCTGGAAAAATGTTCCGTGAAGACATCCAATCTTAATTCCTGAAATCTGTAAATGTTATTTTATAAGAAAAAAATCTTTGCCGAGGTGACTAAATTGAAGATCTTGAGATGAAGAGATTATCCCAGATCATCTGGGTAGGCCTTAAATGCCATTACAATGTCCTTAATGAGAGTGTGGAAGAGGGAGACCATGAAAAAAGGAGGAGGCAAAGTGACCATGGAGGCAGAGACTGAAGTGATGCAGCCATAAGCCAGGGAATGCCAGCAGCCACCAGGAGTTGGAAGGGGCAAGGAACAGATTCCTCCCTTAAAACTCCAGAGGAAGCGTGGCCCCACGAACACTAATTTTTCCCAGGTGAAACTAATTTCAGACTTCCAGCTCCCAGAACTGTGAAAGAAAACATTTTTGCTCATATAAACAATAAGATGTGGTTACCTGGCAGTGGAGAGCTGATGTAACAAATACAAATGTAGAAGTAACTTTGGGATTTGATTTAAAAAAAAAAAAAAGCCTAGATTGTTTTAAACGAAATGTTGGTAAGAATATGAATGTTAAAGATGCTTTTGTTGAAGTCTGAGAAAGAAATGAAGAACATGTTATTGGAAACCAAAGTTGATTCTTAGTTTCAGAAAAACAGCTGAGGCTAGACGTGGTGGCCCATGCCTGTAATCCGAGCACTTTGGGAGACTGAGGTGGGAGGATCCCTAGAAGCCAAGAGTTTGAGACCAGCCTGGCTAACATGGCGAAAACCCATCTCTACTAAAAATATGAAACTTAGGCAGGTATGGTGGTGCGCACCTGTAGTCTCCAGGCAGGAGAATTGCTTGAACCCGGGAGGCAGAGATCGCAGTGAGCTGAGATTGTGCCACTGCACTCCAGCCTGGACAACAGAGAGAGACTCTGTCACACACACAAAAAAAGAAAACATAGCTGAATTGTGTCCTAGAGTCATGCATTTGTCTTTCTAAATAAGAAGAAAGTATTGAAAGAGGCCTATCACATAGGAACAAAAATGAGCACTATATTCGCCATACACTTAGAGCCATTCCCTACCCCTACAAAAATAAATAACTTAAATCAGTGTTTGAACCAGAGGTTAAATAATAAGTAAGAAATTATATTTGTCTCCATAATTTGATTCTGCCCACTATTTGGAAATGGGGTATAAGTACTAAATAAGCTGCTTTCTAAATAATTAATCTTTTATTATTCTAGTTGTCTTCATATATTTTTAATTAAACTAATGGGGAAATATTTGGAAAACATCTTCAATACTGTCTGCATAACTGTGCAGCTTGAAGAACAAAATAAAATCTAACAAAATTGAGTTTTAGAGTTAAGCATAGTCATGGCTGTCATCTTGTTAAAATCATGACGATATAATTCTAATGATATTGACAGCCTAAGATTCCTGAAATAATACAACTGAATCACTTAGGTTAGTACAGAGGGTATGTTTTCAGCTGAGATTAAATATATAAGTTGATATATATTCTCATTTACAATGGCACTTGGCTTAGAAATTGCCAAGGGCTATAAATCCTAGAATTCAAAATAATTTCTTAGTACTTTAATAATCTGAGATCTAAAACAACAAAATAATTCATTTGAAATAGATCCAGAACTTTTATTATTAAAGCTAAACCACAAGTAATGGTAGCATCAATAATTTTTTACAGTAAGCTTTTCTTGAAGTATTTTATGTATAAAAGTGAGTAAAATTGAAATTTAGTGTTTTTTTTTAAAAGATCTAACCATCACACAATAATAATTTTATTTTTCTTGAGCTAAGAGACTAGGTTATTATAGATCCATGATTGTGATTCTATAGATTATAAGATTATTCTTTTAAGCTTAAAATAACCAGAGTGGTGTAGTTGTCTTTATACTGTATACTATATACTAATATATTGTTAGAAAATTGTGCATAAATAAAAATGACAAAGTGTTCAAAGGAACAATAGAAAACAGGTATTCTGTGATCAGTTGGAAAAATTAAGGAAGTGAAAAGGATTTGAGTAAAATATAAACTGTAAATGGTATTAAATAAATAAATTTAATTTATTAATGTACCTTTGCATTTATTCAGTTGCCAATGTCTAACCATTGAAAGAGGTAGTTCAAAGGTACAATTTTGGAAGTATGATTTTAAAAATAAATTATTTTTGTCCATTTTGAAATTATTTGCCCCAGTTGAACTACCTTTCTTATATCTCTTTTTATAAATAATAGACCTATAATTGGATTGTGACGTTGAGAACATGTTTCATGTCATCTCTTTTGTATCTTAAGAAGTTGGCACAGATTCTGGGGAAAAAAGGCTACACTAAATATATACTGCTTATTTAAAAGACTACTATATGAAACTAATGGTTGTATTACTAAAATCTCTGGTAATTGAAAAGAGTATGATATTGAGCAATTAGTTTTAAAGGAAATTATGATTTTCCTTCTATTTTTTCTATCTACCTACCTACCTGCCTACCAACTTATTTATGTTTCCTTACTATAAGAAGAAGCTTGAGACAGATAATTTTTAATAAATAATTTGTGAAAGTCAATTCTGTTGTGTGGAATCTGGCATGGAACCAATACAGAGCTTTTATCAATAAAATAATCTAACAAATAAATCTATCACTAACAATAACAGAAATATTCATAACAGCCTAAAAATATGCCAAACACTATTCTGAGTAAAAGGAGCTCACAAAAGACAATGGAACACAGGATCTGCATTAGGAGAACTTTCAACTTCATGGGCCAAATTTGACCATGAATTGATTATTCACATCACAGACTCAAACATTTGAGGACTGTGGCATGGAAACTGAAATGATCATGAATATTATTAACATTTTCTTCTAAGTGCACATTCACTGCCCATTTGAAACTTTAAAATGCTTAATCACTTGTTATTACAGTTGTATTTGATTTCCTTTCCTTATGAGGATGACAAGTTTGTGTAGTTTAAAAATTAAAGCTGTCACTATTGTTTAATTACACAAACACAAAGGCTAAATTGCCTTATTTAATTTTAGAATAAGGAAATATGCATTGTCATTGCCTCATAAATCAGTAGTAATAGGAACATATTTAAATACATTTAACTTTAAGGAGGGGATGGCATATTTAGCCTGTTTCAAAGAAACACTTAGGGCCAAGCACAGTGGCTCATGTCTGTAATCCCAGGACTTTGGGAGGCTGAGGTGGGCGGACCACGAGGTCAGGAGTTCGAGGTCTGAGACCAGCCTGGCCAACATGGTGAAGCCCTGTCTCTACTAAAGATACAAAAAAAAAAAATATATATATATATATATATATTAGTGGGCGTGGTGGCACTCTCCTGTAGGGCGTGGTGGCACTCTCCTGTAATCCCAGCTACTCGGGAGGCTGAGGCAGGAGAATCGCTTGAACCCGGGGGCAGAGGTTGTTGTGAGCCGAGATCATGTCACTGCAATCCAGCCTGGGCAACAGAGCCAGACTCCATATAATAATAAAAAAAAAAAGAAACAAACAAACAAACAAAAGAAAAGAGAAACTCTTAGGTAGAAAAGAAAATCTAATGATGATGTTATCTTTGTTAACATCAAAAAAAGATGGTGTTATCTTCGAAAATCTAATGGCGATGTTATCTTTGTTAACTAATCTAAAAGGTGATGTTACATTTGTTAACTGATCTTATTCTCTTTCTCAAATTATAGCCTAAATGGGGTTCCCATTATTGTTTAGAGTATTATTCTGAGTAGACTAAGGTTACAACTTTGATTTCTAGGTCAGTCACTTAACAGATGCCCATCTGATGATTACAAAAGGATTGAGTTAACAAGAAATTAAGTGAGAGGGTATAAAACAGCCTAATTACCAAGAAAATATCTAAAGACTTTTTGTACTATTTTTATAACACCATTAGTTTTACTTCTATATGCAAAAGGACAGTATATCTTTGAAAAGTCTCCATAGAAAAGAAAGACATGCTTCTCTTTCAGTGAATGTGATTAATAGAATAGGGTAATAAAGATATACTTTATCACAGTGAATTAATCATGTCTATGCTGGATGAAACCCCCTAAAACTTTGGTGGAAAAGTAAAATCATTGCTTACCGAAATAGGAAAGGATAAAATGCTGAAGAAAGAAAAGTTAATTTCAAGCTTCAAGTAAGATATTATAGGTAATGGAGGTTAAAATAAAATTGAGATTATAAAAGCAATTAAGAATGTCCCTTTAAGGAGCAACTCATGAGAGACTGTGATAGCCTCAAATTGTTCATATTTGCATAGAAAAGGTCACAAGATATCATTGGATTGTTAACACTGAATAAGAGACTTTCTCAGAAAAGGGGAATCAGATGCATATCCCATTATAGGACATCAAGGTCTTCTTAGAGTTACAGTGCATGTAATCTCTACTATGATATTATATATATTGAATGTCCTTCCTAGGACAAACACATTTTTGCTTACATTTCAAAGATATTCTCTGCCCAGTAAAACCTTGATCAGAATTCTCTAATCCTCAGGATGATCACTCTTATATTTATCCTAAATCCCTGTGAGTACTCATATAAACCATGAAACAATGTGATCAGTTACAATTATGTAGGTTTTTATTGTTTTGAGGCATATTACAAAACGTGAATAGAGAATCAAATAAACAGTAGTGTCTGTCTCCAGGTATTATTCTCATTACAACTCTTTGTGTAATGTGGCAGGTTTAAAATACAATGACGAACATAGAAAAGCACATCATTCTGATAGTTCATATTGTTGTGTTTTCATTAATCCTCCAAGAACATTAAAAGAAAAAAATTGCTAATTGAAAAAAATGACTCTAGATGCCCTGGCACATGAAAGAATTATGTCATTGTAAGAAGTAAGTGATTCAAAGAGTTTGTCCATTGCCATTCTTATAGAAGTTAACGATGCTTGACCCAGTCTATAGACATTTGTTTGAGCAAAGACATATACAATTGCTAATACTAATAGCTATATTCAAATAACAATAACATTCTTCTGGTAAGGGTTTATATCATAAGAGTAAGTCAAATTGTATGTTGAATATCAAGAAAGAGCATCTGCTTGGAGTACATTAAACAACAACAGATGTTGCTAAATCAAATAACTATCAATCTTAGACTCATAATGTCATTGTTGGGTATTTACATTCAAAGTATAGCCTCAAATGGACAAGGAACATATATCATGCAGTCTAGAATGCTTACATTAAGTAAAGCATCAATTAACTGGAATCCAACTAACAGTTTATGCCAAAAAAGTTTTTTCTACTCTTTATTTAAAGGAAAATGACAAAAGCCAATAAAATAAGCTGATTTATAATATGATAAAGAATATTTTGCTGTTGAGGTTTTTATTTCTTTGGTTTACATTTTTACTTGTTTGGGTAAAAGCACGTATTCATATATTTTTCATTTTCATGTTGTTTTATTAGATCATCTACTACAAAGGACCCCAGAGATGTGGCATAATGTATAATCATCAAAAAAAAGTAAATTATTATTTACTATCAAACTATTATAAATGAATGACGATGGGTCTTGATTAATTAAAATACTTTGTCCTTTTTTTCTGAGAAGGCAAAATGAGACTTTGCCTTCCCTTTCAGCATTGCAGGACTCAAGAGTACAAAATTCTAAAGCCATGTAGATTCCTTAACTACCAATTTGAGGACTTTGTTCCAAAAAGAACTAATTTTGGTTTTGCATCTCTAAAAATGCCTGCCTATACTGGATAGAATATGCTTCTACAAACTTGAATTCTCATGGCCTCCAACTTAAGCATGAAATAAGCAGGCTAAATTTAAAATAATTATAAGCAATCTTCTATTTTGGAAGCAGAACAAATATTTTTTAGAATATATTAATTTAGATATTACACGTATCTCTAGAAAGCATTGGAACATGTGTTTCCTCATAACTATGATTAAACTTGGCCTCTTCTCTAAGTTGTGAATGCAAAACTAGCATGTTAAAATAGAATTTGATTTAGTTTACAAAAAGCAATATTGTGAATTTTACAGACAATCCATATTTTCCCTAGGGAAATGATTGATTCATTTTTTACAGAGAAGTTTATTCCTTATATGTTTTTAACTAATCTTCAGAATGATAAATAATATTTATTAATAGTCCTCAATTTTTTCTGTTGTATGTATGATCTTTACAAACTGTTCATTCTTTAAAATCAATGTGTATATGAAGTATCTTTTTGTATTTGAAAATCACTTCTTTTTTATATTTTATTTTTAGATGCAATACATGCTGCAAAAATATAAATTTGCACATTGCTAACAAAGTAGTTTTGCATTTAAAATTTATTCTAATTTGCATTTCTTACTTTAAGAATAAATCCTTTAATAATATTAGCAGTTAATAAATATTTTAGAAATTCCATATAATACAGAGATTGAGTTTACTGAATTGATGTCATAACAAAACAAACACCAAAATGAATATTGGTCATTGAGGCATTACTCACAATAACAAAGACATGAAATCAACGGTCTATTGGATAAAGAAAATCTGGTGCACATACACCACGGAATACTATTTAGCCATAAAAAAGAACAAAATCATGCCCTTTGCAGCAACATTGTTTCAGCTGGAGGCCATTCTCCTAAGTGAATTAATGCAGGAGCAGAAAACTAAATATAGCCTGTTCTCACTTATAAGTGGGAGCTTGGGAGCTAAACATTGGGTACAAATGGACATAAAGATGGGAATAACAGACAATGGGGGACTACCAGAGTAGGGAGAGTGGAAGAGAAGAAAGTGCTGAAAAACTACCTATTAGCCTCTCTGCTCACTACCTGGGTGATGGGGATCAATATACTCCAAAATTCAGCATCATGCAATGCATCCATCTAACAAACCTGTACATGTACCCTGTGAATGTAATGAGAGTTGAAAAAAATTTTAAAAGAACATTGGCTTTAAAACATTTTTTTCAAAACCACATATATATTTATATATTGAACATTGCTATAAGATATAATTTCACCACTTTTTCTTGTTTTACCTTGATGCAGTCTGATTACACTGGAATGATTAATGTGCTTACCTAAAACAGAAAGAAATAAAACATGCCATTAGTTTCAAAGGGATATTATTTCGAAGTTTGCAGTGGACAAAATGAGAGATGGTGGATTACAGTCACAATTCTCATTCCAACCTCTATTTTCTTTTGCACCCCGGAGATCTTTATGATGTGACACAATCAAATGGAATGTTGTTTCCAAAAATGCATAGTCAAAAGAACCTTTATAGATGCCTTGGTGGCAAATACGTTTTTATTGAGTTGAAGACATCTATTTTTGTCAGTTCTTTCCTGCCACCAGCATACAATGTATCAAATAAAAAACATTGGTGGAATTGTATTACTTTCCAAAACAGCTTAGAAACATCCTTATTACAAATGTATTATTTCTGGTGTTACTACAGTATCATTCATACTATCCACATTTACTTTCCTGAAAAATTTTAAAAAACAGGTCTGTTTAGAATCAGGTTCAGTAACAATGCAGTGGAAATAACAAAGTATGTAAAGAATTACACTGTTTGCAAATTACAAGCACAAGTATAGGTCTGTGGTAAGACTGGAAATGTCACATTTTACTCTTCTATCCTAGTAAATTAGAAGGTAAAGTTAAATAAATTGTTCTGTTTTACAGAGCATTTATGATCCTTACAAGTGGATATTTTCCTGTGTTCCCACCCATATCCAATTTGAGAAAGTAGCCAAAACCTATAGGGCATATTGGTCCCTTCCTAGGGGTGAGGTGTGCTTTTAAACCGGGGTAGTTTACATCAACTGAAGTGTGAGGGTAGGCATTCGAAAGGTCTAACGTGTGAAATATTAGTTGAGTACCTTATTGGGGTTATAAATGTTTTAAAATTACATTTAAAATTCCAATATAATTACATCTATGCACTTATGAACTGCTTACTCTTGTATAACCCTTGGAAATCTATGTTTTGTATTGGATATTGGAAACTAGAGCTTATGAACCCTCATTACATTACTTATTTTTAATGTCTACTATTTTTTGATTGCCTTGTGACCAGGAATTATATTTATCCTTTTAATACAATACCTAGCACAGTATTACATATGAAGTAGAAACTCAATTGTTTTTATAAAATAAATAAATAGATAGATGAATGAAAGACTAATTGAACTAATCACATAGGAAAGCAAAAAATCAGTGAGTTAAGTGAGTTAACTGAGTGAGTTAAGTGAGTATCCAATAAAATCTAGGAGAGTTGAATATTGAATACATAGGTATATTGGTTTATTTTATTGACTGGTTATTTAACTTCGTAAAGCTCAAACAAAACAAAATTTCATTAAAATTAAAAAAATTAAAACTGAAAAAAGCAAAAGTGTTTTGTGGTTCAATAAACTGCAATGTCACATCAATAGGACATTAGAGAGCAATTTTAGGCAATTTTCGGAATGTAAAACAAATTGCTATTTACCAATAAAAATGTAATTCATTTTACATAATGTCTGTTTTGAGAGGAAGAATTTCTAATTGGAATATGCTGATTTTCCAATTAACATGGTTAAGGCAGATTTGCACATTTTACGTCAGTTGCAGTTTTCTTGTGTTGTAAAATGGTAGATGTACAGGTAGCTTCCTTTGTTTCTTTTGTATTTATCTCAAAGGGACTTCTGAAGAATTCTAAAGCAGGAAAAAATATTCTTAGATACACATAGCTCCTTATAAAGGAGATTCATGAGCACCCTATAATTATTTTCTACCACAATTTTGACCAATTACTATTCCATTTTTTCTTCCTTCATGGAGTGATTTTGCTTATAAGTATTTCTTTTCTTTCTTTGTTCCATTATACATATTTGAGATCATCTGGGCAGTGAGCCCACATTGCTTTATTTTTTTGTTTATTACTTGTAGACTGTCCTAGATTCTTGTGAGAGGGCATATTCTAAATTATTATTACCATGATTATAGGAATATTGGCACTCTGTGAGATTTTAATATAAGAAGATTCTTCCATTATTTTATAATAAGCTAAATACTATATATATTTATTGGAGTGCTACTTTAAATGGATAGAGTATTTAATTTTAATATTGCCTGACTCTCTAAACTGTGTTCAGGAAGCAGTATGATTTTAACTGTGCCAGGCTGTTTCCTAAAACCAGAAACCTATTTATATAGCGGTTTTAATTCATTTTTGATATAACTATTTATTATTGTCACACATCTCACAATGCTTTTCTGTAAAATAGGATATTGCTAACAAACCATCACTTTTAATGTCACGCAGACCATCACTGCCCTCATGGATGGAAACCATAATTAAATTTATATTACAGACATGAGGTATAATATTTAAAAAGCTAAAAACAGTTAATGTAACTTGAATCTGTTAAACATGTCATTTAATTGTGTGTATACCTATTTTTCTGAAATGCAGTCACTGGAGAAAGCTAAATAGTATATCAATTTCCTAACCAGGCCACAGTAGCCTACCAGGATATAAATTGCAATATTGTTTGGACCATGATCGTGATAGTGATACCATAAGGGATTATGTTTCCAAAATGATGTGCTGGCTGGTTCTTATAGAAACCCTGTGTCAAAATAGTTCATAACAATTTCTACTTTCCCCTACTATAGTTTATTTATAACTGCCACCACCCTCTTCCTGCTACTGCCCCCAGCTTTTGGATGCTGGATATAGCATTTAAGATTGGAAAGAACTTAGGTAAGTTTTAGTTCAGCTCTCATGTTTTAAATGTCAAATAGTAAAGTCTAGAGATTTGGTTAGCGTCCCATAGCTCTTGAACTCTAGTTCAACAGTCTTTTCAGGTTACTTTGGAGATCATCATTCCTTTTTCTTTCTTTCAAAAGCAACACATTCTTCATAAAAACATCAATTAAAATATGATTTAATATATTCACAGAATTCTTGTGACATATGCACATTTAGGGCTAAAATTTAAATAGAAATATTTTGGCTTCATGTTGGACATTGATCTCCAGCCACTGTTTCTGGTAAACATGGGCGTGTACACCCTCAATACACACACACACACACACACACACACATACACACACAGAGATATCCTTTCAGGATGAGGCTCTTCGTTTTCACTCAGAAAATTCACTCTGTTCTTTTCCCACTTTGCACTCAGGTTTTAAAATCTCTAAAGTCCTAAACTACTGGGCTTATTCATTATTAAACTTAAAACAAGACCAAAGAATTTTCCTTTATACATTTACCTGATTCCCACTGAGACTTCTTTTCTCAGATAAGGAGATACTAATCTTCTAGCCGAAAGCATTTCCCATATTTTATTTTGCCCTTTGAGTTCTTTTATTCCAGAACCCATTCTTTCTCACTTTAATTGAGGCTTTTACTGTCACCTTAACCCCTCTCAGGTCCAACATCCAAGTAGCTGGAAGTAGAAAAAGTGTTTGCCTTTTTAAAGTGTAGTCTCTGTTTCTGCACAAGGGTTAGCAACCAACTTGCTTATGCACAGCTAAACTGTCTGTCTCTTCACAGAATACACATTATTTAGATCATAGTATAAGACAGAGACCAGGAAACTGTTTCTACAAAGAGTCATAGTTTGCTGACTACTGGGATAGGTTATTTTGGGGGGGAAATGTCTAATAATATGTAATTCATCAAATAATAATATTGTGGTTATCAGGTGAAATAGTAGGTCATAAAAAGCCAAAGGATATAATACAGAAAACAATACGTGCTCATGGAGGCCTATTTCTGAAGCGAAATAGGACAGTCCATGAAGGCAAGTCCAAGATTTCACCTCTTTGTACTTTCTTTCCTGATCTATATATTGAAGGCAGTTGGAATAGATAATCTTCAAAGATCTTTCCACTGGGACATGTTGAGACATGTAAGAAATCATTACTATTGATAAGGAGACTCACTATTGTGCCAAAATAAGCAAAAATGCATATCCAAGGCAAAATTCATCAGATATCTATAGTTTTTTACAACTCAGGTAAACAGTAACTGCACTTTTAAAAAGTGCAAGAACATTTTATTTGTAATTGCATACCTAGATGCTGCCACAAGTGTAAAATTGGTTAAATTATCCCCCAGAAACAGATATGCTTATTAACTTTCTTTGATACATTTTGAGAGCATGAGAAAATATTGATATGTAAAAATCCTTAAATATAATATTGCTGAGGAGCACAAAAGTTTAAATTCTTCTTTCTTTCACTCTCTCATTTAAACACCATGGAGGGCCCTAGAGTTATGAAGACAAATATGTTAACTAAGATTATATTCCTTGAAGAAATGATTGCCTAATGGAGGAGCTAAACTTGCAAAGTGACAGATCATATGGATTTCAAATAATGTTTGGATATAAATAATGTTTCATAACAAAGATATAATGTATTTTTTTGTTGTCGTTTAAAAAGGCCGGGCATGGTGGCTCACGCCTGTAATTCCAGCACTTTGGGAGGCTGAGGCAGGCGGATCACTTGGGATCAGGAGTTTAAGACCAGCCTGACCAACATGGTGAAACCCCATGTCTACTAAAAATACAAAAAACTAGCCAGGCATGGTGGTGCACGCCTATAGCCCCAGTTACTTGGGAGGCTGAGACAGGAGAATCGTTTGAACATGGGAGGGAGGTGGAGGTTGCAATAAGCCGAGATCGCACCACTGCACTCCAGCCTGGGTGACACAGCAAGATTCTGTCTCAAAAAAAAAAAAAAAAAAATACACTGGGTGACAGGGCAAAAACCTTTCTTAAAATAATAAGTACATATGGATTCTTTTTCACAGAAATAACTTTACAAATATTATATATCTGCATAGCTGAATTTAAATACAAACTTGGAAACACATTCTCCTGGTTACCTTCATACATTTATTTTACTATCATAATTAATGTTTTTCATACTTAAAAACCTTGTTTTAGATAAATTATTCTGTAGCATAGTGCTTTAAAGTAAATAACTTAAGTGTTAGAATATTTATTTTTGGGACTATAACATTTAAAATGTTGGGCAAAACACTGTATTTTTGGTAGTTAATTCTATAATGATAATTTTACTTTTAATAAAAGAGAGGAATTGTAGTGCAAAAATTATTGAAATTACCATGCCAGTATTTCATCTTTCATGAAGTATATATCAGTTAAAAAGAATTAACATGAATCCAAAAACACAAAGGCCAAACAGACTGAGGAGTAAATAGCAGAAGCCATGGGGTATGGTGTGTGCCTGTAGTCCTAGCTTTTTGGGAAGCTAACGCAGGAGGATCTACTTGAGCTCAGGAGTTGGAGTCCAGCCTGGGCAACATAGTGATATCCCGGCTCTTAAAAAAATAAAAAAAAAATCAGAAGACTTTTGTGTAATTAAAATACAAACTCTGAAATTATTTCATTTTAAATTTATGCTGTGTTCATTTTACATTTCAACACATGCTGCTGAATTTTAACATGTTATTGAAAACTATCAGGAATAAGGCTGGAAAGTTAATGTTGCATGTCCTGGTCCAATTCATACATTCTAAATAGATGTCAAACTTATACACATCACTGGGGCTGGTCAAACTTGTTTATAACATTTAGATCTTCTCTGACTTTGACTTTCCACTGACTTTGAGAGTTACAAGCTAAAGAGCAGCTAAATTAAGCAGAACAAAACAAACAACACAAAGTGAAAAAGAACACTGAAGTCCAAATCTACTTGTTTACTTTGTATATGCTGCCCTTATCTCCACAATTTACCTGATGCACAAAACAATAGGCACCAAATAATGATGATGAAAATAATGCAGGGGAAATAGTTTACTCCTCTGTACACCCTGGTGCTGATAGTAGAAATTGCAGTAGTATTATAATGCAAGTTTTAATTGTCTTTTGCCTTATCAAACAAAAGGATCAGATTTGACTATTCTAAAAAAGAAGGACTGTAAGAATTGTGGACATGTCAGATAAAGGAAAACTTGACCTATAGCAAAAAAATATTAAAGCTGAAATTATGAATTTAACATACCAAAAAAACCCAAAAACAATAACCGAAAGCAAAAATACCAAACATGTTTCATTGCTGTTTGACTAGAGCTAACATATGTTTAATTCAAAGAAGATGGAAAATCAATTACTGCATTCTTAATGTTTCCAATATTTACAACACTCTTGATCAATTAATTGTCCTACTTGTCTTTATGATACTCCTGTCATTGACTGGTACACAGATAAAAGTTTGTATAATCATAGAATGTAATATATCTCTAACATATGATGGCTACTTTATGACAAAGGTTCTGTGACTTAGTTGCATACCCTAACTGCCTGGAGAGCTCTAAATCAAAAGCAAAACACATTAATGTTATCCCACACCAAGTGTTTGGGATTTAATTGGTATAATCAGAAACATTCTTCTGTATGTTTCAGAACCTCCACAGGTGGTTCTGATGAACAGCAGAGAGGAGAACTTTACCTAAGGTCTCAAATGTGGGCTCAGTTTATTTGCTGTTACTGTGTTAATCAATGATTCCCCTCCTAGATTTTCAGTTTTTGGCTACACCCCAGAGGAAAGAAATGCACTGTGTAATGTGATCCTGTGAGCACATTTGTATATATGAATATACGCATATATACTGAACTGAAACACAAGTTACATAAAACAATAACCTTTCTTACACTTGTGATATTGAGAGGTGACAGCGTGCTGGCAGTCCTCAGAGCCCTCCCTCGCTCTCGGCGCCTCCTCTGCCTGGGCTCCCACTTTGGCGGCACTTGAGAGCCCTTCAGCCCGCCGCTGCACTGTGGGAGCCCCCTCCTGGGCTGGCCAAGGCCGGAGCCGGCTCCCTCAGCTTGCAGGGAGGTGTGGAGGGAGAGGCGCCAGCGGGAACCGGGGCTGCGCGCGGCGCTTCCGGGCCAGCTGGAGTTCCGGGTGGGCGTGGGCTTGGCGGGCCCCGCACGCGAAGCAGCCGGCCGGCCCTGCCGGCCCCGGGCAATGAGGGGCTTAGCACCCGGGCCAGCGGCTGCGGAGGGTGTACTGGGTCCCCCAGCAGTGCCGGCCCACCGGCGCTGCGCTCTATTTCTCGCCGGGCCTTAGCTGCCTTCCCGCGGGGCAGGGCTCGGGACCTGCAGACCGCCATGCCTGAGCCTCCCACCCCCTCCGTGGGCTCCTGTGCGGCCCGAGCCTCCCCGATGAGCGCCGCCCCCTGCTCCACGGAGCCCAGTCCCATCGACCACCCAAGGGCTGCGGAGTGCGGGCGCACGGCGCGGGACTGGCAGGCAGCTCCACCTGCAGCCCCGGTGAGGTATCTACTGGGTGAAGCCAGCTGGGCTCCTGAATTTGATGGGGACATGGAGAAGCTTGGTGTCTAACTCAGGCATTGTAAATGCACCAATCAGCGCCCTGTCAAAACAGACCACTCGGCTCTACCAATCAGCAGGATGTGGTGGGGCCAGATAAGAGAATAACAGCAGGCTGCCCGAGCAGCAGTGACAACCCGCTCCGGTCCCCTTCCGCAGTGTGGAAGCTTTGTTCTTTTGCTCTTTGCAGTAAATCTTGCCACTGCTCACTCTTTGGGTCCACACTGCCTTTATGAGCTGTAACACCGCGAAGGTCTGCAGCTTCACTCCTGAAGCCAGCGAGACCACGAGCCCACCGGGAGGAAGGAACAACTCCAGACGCGCCACCTTAAGAGCTATAACACTCACCGCGAAGGTCTGCAGCTTCACTCCTGAGCCAGCGAGACCACGAACCCACCAGAAGGAAGAAACTCCGAACACATCTGAACATCAGAAGGAACAAACTCCGGACACGCCGCCTTTAAGAACTGTAACACTCACCGCGAGGGTCAGCGGCTTCTATTCTTTAAGTCAGTAAGACCAAGAACCCACCAAGTCCGGACACAATATTTTCTATTATCTATGTTTGATTCTTGTCATAAACATCTGAACTGTTAAGGTAATTCACTAATGGATCACAATCTGCACTTCGAAAATTACTGGACACTTCTTATTCACACGTAATACATTCTGCCTTAACACAGTGCACTCTAAGAGAATTAATGAAATGCAGAAAAGACTATAGGTTTGTAAAATTCACTCAGCAAAGTCATTCATTGTGTTGCTTAGGTACATAATATTTCAAAAACTAAGCTTCACTGAGCATCTGTATTGACCACTTTGAAGTGATAGTTTTATAGCTGGATCTTCCTACATCATGTACTATCTGAACACATCACACTAGTTTTGATCGTTTGGTCTCATTAACTCCAATTATCCAAATTGGTATGTAGGGAAATATACAATACGGTGTTGACAGTTCATAAGTATTTGACTATTAATGTGTTGTCTATAAAATACTCAACCTACTCAGGAAACACAATTCTTCAAAGAAATAATAAAAGAATGATCCAGCATGATCTAGATTGTGTTACATTCAAATAAAGAAAAATAATGCAAAACAATGCAACCTAACCTACCATTAAATTTCTAAGTAATGACCAAAATCCTTAGCTTTATACATGCATTATTTAAAATTATGAAACCCAGGAGACTTATTTACAATTCATCCTTAAATAGTGGAATAAAAATCAATATAACTGTTTTGTCAATGCATTTGACTTCCTGAGCATATTTTCCAACAGAAGCATGCTTATGCAAATCCAGAAATGAAATGTTAAAAATTCAGAAATCAAAATATTTCTTTAAATAAACTTGTTGAGAAATTTTTTACTCAGTAAACATTTTTAACATCCACTGAGTTTTCTTAATTCCACTATTTTTCTGAATTGTCATTTCTTCATATAAAAATATTTGAATAAGTAAAACTTTATGTTAGGAGTATATGTAAGTATGTGTGGCTACCATTTCAACTAAAACTTAGGGTGGGAACCTATCTGAGGATCTTTTTTAAAGCTGGATACCTTATAGAACTTGTAAAATAAAAATCTTTTTTTCTTTTACAATCTTTTACAATTTTTCTTTTACAATCTTTTAAAAAGGGATCTATATCACTTAAATCCTCAAAAAAAGGTTATATCATGAGGGAATAGAAGAAATACTTTCTGTTGACATAAACAGTAATTGATAAGGTTTTCTTGAATACTTTTATAGAAATGCTGATGTATTACACTTAAGATTACTAGTTAGCTCTCATTTCCTTTCAACTTTTGCCTCTGGATAAGCTCAACTATTCCCAGGAAGAAACAGTGATCAAGTACATTTGTCATGCGAGCAGCTATAATAAGGTAATTCATCATAATCTGTCAGAGTTTTATTCTAGAAAGACTGCTACATTTTTTTTCTTACTTAAAAATCTGCTGTCACTCCTGTTGAAAATTTGGTAGACATTTTGGACATGTTTAAAAGCCCTTCCAAACTGATAGTTGCAGATAATTAAGTTATTGGCTATCAAAGATTCTTTTTCTCTTTTTCTTTTTCTTTTTTTTTAACAATATATATGACACTATGAACCCTTCTAGCTAGTTTAATCTGACCTGTTCACAGAGCATGATCCCTCATTCCCTTTCCTTTTTCCTCCTTAAGAGTAGCCAACGACCAAAGTAATTCACAATGACAAATGAAGCCTTTCTCAAGAGTCTAATTGAGCAATTTTGTTTTCCTTTGCAAGACCTGAAATCTACAGCATTCTGAACTCCATTCACTGAAGTGGCAAGAGATAGTGGTCAGAAGGAAACTAGGTGGATTAAGGGGTTTCTAGAAAACAAGTAAATAAACTCTACCTAGGTGTGACATCTTACATCTCAGTAATATTTCAATTCATCTACTCAATTACTTACTCCGTGTATCCTTTACTTTAAGCCATTTTTAATAAAGTTTCATTGTGATGTGTACTTTATTGAATCCTAAAGTCTCAGTCACTACTCTCTCATTCTTTTGTAATACTTCCTGCATTTTTTCAGCGTTTAAATTCATGCTTTCTTAGAAGAAGAATTATATTAGTCTTTTCTCTAGCCAATTGTGTGATATCCTTTTGTACTACCTTAGAGATAGACTGTGTTTGGCTTAAGGACAAGAAAGGAGATATAATAAATGTTTTAATTGGCTTTTCAAAAAATTTACATTATTCTCATACAATGTACATTTTATACATTAACTGATTATCAAACCCAAGAGCATGTTCTCATTGGTAGCAACCACTGGCAAAGTATTAAACGAAGATATACATATATGTGCATATTCAAATATATATGTGCGTATATATACATGTATGTAATGTTTTAATGACTGCTAAATACAAAAGAATATGTAAATACATATTGAAGTATAAATTATGATATAAATATATTGTTATTCTCTTCTAGTAATTTGAATTTAAGTTGTCTGGTGTCATATATTTTCAAGCTAACTGGTAATAATATTTTTAAAAATTCATACAACGTTAGGTCTCTTACAATTCTTTATTCTCTCATTCCAAAATATTTATTGAGTACCTGCTGTGTTGATAATACTATTTCATCTCAAGGAAGGCTTGGTAAATTCCTGTGAAAAATGTTATTTTTCCTAACTTAACAAAGGATGGAAGCATAGGTGAAAATGGTTTACTCTGCATCAGGTAGGCATTTACACAAAATCTAAGGCTTAAGTGTCATTCTGCTCAATCTTTTCTCTAATATTTAAGGAGAAGATACTTAAAACTTTTAAAGTCATTGACATTTAATACCAATCTTTCAAGTAAAATAGATGTTACATTATCCTAATCACCACATTTTAATTATTTTATTTGCTTTGACCAAATCATTAAAGGCTTGATATAAAGATGTGCAAATAAGTAAAACTGAATTGAAATCATTATATGAGTACTTCAGATTTTTGGTTGGTAATCTGAAAACAACTGGTGACATTCGTTTATATTTTAATAAATTTAAATGTAATGGTTTTAATAATTTCTGTGGATATTTAATAATATCTTTGGCTATGTTTTCACATATATCCACAGAAATTGAATGAGGGAAATGCCCATTTTGGCTTTGATGGTCTAAGAGCTTAATTGCAAAACTCCCTTTGAAAATCAAGACCTTGAGAAATTTCAGTGACTGCATGGCAAACATAATCTCAACAATAGGAAGTGTTCACATCAAGTAAAAAGTAGCAGGCTGGGCACGGTGGCTCACACCTGTAATCCCAGAACTTTGGGAGGCCGAGGCAAGCGGATCACGAGGTCAGGAGATCGAGACCATCCTGGCTAACACGGGGAAACCTCATCTCCACTAAAAATACAAAAAATCAGCCAGGCATAGTAGCGGGCACCTGTAGTCCTAGCTACTTGGGAGACTGAGGCAGGAGAATGACGTGAACCCTGGAGAGGGAGCTTGCAGTGAGCTGAGATCATGCCACTGCACTCCACCCTGGCCAACAGAGCGACACTCCGTCTCAAAAAAAAAAAAATTCCACCTATGAAAAAATATATCAGAAATGAAGTTTATTTCATCAAAACCAATAAGCCATCAATTATAAGACACACCATTATTTTATGTATTACTAAGAGATGAAACTTTACCAATTAAAGTATAATATATCATTTATAATCAAACATTCCAATTTCGGAGCTGGAAACTGTTGCAAACATATGCATTTTTAAACTGATTAACTAGAGCATTTTTACCATTTTTTTATAGAAAATAAACTATGATTCCTGAAAAAATATATATTCTGCTGTTTTACTGCCTAAAAAACCAAAAAGTTTAAAGAAGCGCTGGATAAATAATGCAATTTTGTTCACCAAACCTTTCACAGAATGTTAGGAAAAACTGAACTGAAAAGCATATAGAGGTAAAATAGTTTCTTTTGGCAATACACAAATAAATGCTCTCCCTAATATTATTATTTTGGGACTCTATTCACAACTGTAATTACTGAGTAATAAATTAAAAGTTGAATCAATAGGCCAAGTCTTTCTATCATAACATTTGTAAAACATATCAGTAATTGTAGAACTAAGCAGCACTCTACTCATTCTTTCAATATTTTGAAAACTTGAAATCTATCTGGTTTTCTGAAAAATCTTATCAGTTTTCCACATAAGGTTTAATTCATGTGATGTCTATTTTGGAAACCCAGGGAAGGAATTCTTAGACATCAGGAAAAGCAGCCTAATTTTGCTCCTTGCTAGGAAAAGCTGTAAAATAATTAAATCTTAAGACAGCCTAAGGTTGCTCCATCAATAATGTCCCCGCTACCATAACATTAGGAAAGAAAATAGAAACACCTTACTTTCTTTTCCCAACTGTATCTTAAAAAGGTACATGAATCCAAATCAAAGGAACGCATTCATCTGTATAAGAAGTATTAAAATGAAATACTTAAAATATATAAAATTTTAGAATTAAATTACTACTTGATAGATTATTTAATAATACATTAATATTAATTTATGTAATATAAATTAATTATAATCATAAATATATTTAAGCTAAAATTAATTTCATTTGTCACACACACACAACAGTGGCCGATAATTGCCAATGAGAATGTCAGAGTTTATAATTGAGACAATTTGAGTGTCAAAATAGTAGATCTACCAAGGGAACTTTAGAGCAGCTTAACCAGTAGGAGATCTTTAAATACCTGACCTCTTTACTACAAACCAAAAGTCATGATGACTGAAAAACGAAACATTGTCAGAATGTAAAATTCACTAAAGAAAAATTCAGATTTCCTGTGAGAATTTTCCCTCATTAATTGTTATTATTTTTGACTCTGTCAATCATACTGTGTCCTTGAAGAACATCAGTATGCTTTGTTTTTTCATTGTAATTGTTGTTGTTAGGAGTCCTGATTATAGTCAAAAAACACTATTGCAGGTACTTTGAAATTATTAATAGAATTTCTGTTCAATATACATATATCAAAGCTATTGCTATTGAAACAACATTTTGAAATCAATAAAATCCTGGCTCCCTGAATATAATATACATGAAAACACCTCAGGTTTTTAACATGGAAAACATTACGCAAATGTCAATTCTTAACGTTATTTATTCACATACTGGACTCTCAATAAAGTCATGAAGTTGACCTTCTGAGTATATGTATTGTACACAGTTAATTCCCTTTATTCAGAGTACTTTTGTATTACAAAGTCACCATAAACACTGAATTAGTAAATACAAAGCCATTGCTCATTGGGAAAATGCAGGGTTAAATTCCCGTGAACCTCGGGTCACGGTATTTCTCTCAGCTTATCAATACATAAGCTTATTTTATGCGTGTTTCCGTTTAAATCCATTTTATTTAATACATATTTCTTACACTAATTATATGCAGTATTAATTTATAATAAATCACTAGATGTAAAGGGTCTTACATTTTCCTGACTTTGAGTAACATGATCAGACATCGGTTTTCAACCTCACAGCAGTGTTATGCAATAAGTTTTTAAAAATCAGATGCAATCTCGAGTTCACAAATTTAGCAGTTTTTCTACCTTTACCGTAGTTTCATCATTCACTATAGATGTTACTTTGGTACTTTCCAGAGTGACCGATATACAAATCATGAATTTCCCCTTGCCCACATTATTGATTCATTAACATTGAACTTAGGACCAACAGCATTATAGCTCATGCCTGAAGGGAGCTTATCTAACAGTTGTTGTTGTTATTTTCTGTGAAAGGGACATCACAACCTTCTTTCAAGTAGGAACACTAGACAGCACTTCAGCACAATGCTTGGGGCACATTTTTAACAGTGAAATAACCTACAAAAAAGCCCAGAAAATACAAAAAAAAAAAAAAAAACTTGGCAACAAACAGACCATGAAAAGGAAATGTTTTTGCAGTATGAGAGGTGAAACAAATGGCAGAATGTCACCTTGTTTGATCTTGGCTGGGAACATGTGCTGCTGGGCCCCAAATTTTTTGCCACTGTGTGTATGTCCATTACTATGAAAATGCCTCAGGTGTTAATATTGAGGTTACAGATAAATTTTAGTGAGTAGGCAATTTCACAAATACAGAATCTACAGATAATGAGGATGGACTGTGTATATGTATATATATTTATATATATACAAACACACACACAAATACATATAGATACATAATAGATATACAGATAAATGGATAGATAGATAGATAAATAGATAGACAGATAGATAGCTTTAGAAAAGATGACATTTGAAGGCCAATTATCTTGGCTACTCTACATCTGTCCCACAACCCCATAACCTTCCTCCTGGTTACGCTTTAAGAAAAATAAAGGATTTAATTCAAAATATAATAGATTTTTAGGAGATACTGCTTGTTCTTTGATAAAACATACCGCTATAAGTTTTAAAGATGATTTTCTAATTTAATAAATCATCATAAACATGAGAATTACAAAACATTTAAAATTTCACAAGTTTTTTAAACAATCTGTTTTGTTTTTGTAATGTCTTCCAAAATTAAATACATTCTTTAAAATACTCTTTTATATTCATCTTTTTCATCAAATAAAAGTTCGTTCTTTCAATATATAGATATAACATTTTATAATTTTTTAGAACTTTCCCTTCTTTCTGCTACTGCAAGAGGCCAATTTCAAATGTAATGACGCCTATAGGCTTAAAGTAAAGAAATGGAGAAAGATCTATCACTCAAATGGAAAAGAAAAAAGAGTGAGGGTCAGTATTCTTGTATCAGATAAAAGAATGGGAGAAAATACACACATATATGTACCTGAGAAGGGACTAATATTCAGAATCTATAAGAAACTTAAACAAATCAACAAGAAAAAAAACTAGCAACCCCATTAAAAAGTGGCAAAATCCTTGAGCAGACACTTCTCAAAAGAAGACATACTCATGCCTGTAATCCCAGCACTTCGGAGGCCAAAACAGGCAGATCGAAGTCAGGAGATCGAGACCATCCTGGCCAACATGGTGAAATCCCTGGGTGTCTCTACTAAAAATACAAAAATTAGCTGGGCATGACGGCACATGCCTGTAATCCCAGCTACTTGGGAGGCTGAGGCGGGAGAATCCCTTGAGCCCGGGCGTTGGAGGTTGCAGTGAGCCGAGATGGCGCCATTGCACTCCAGCCTGGCAACAGAGCAAGACTCCATCTAAAAAATTAGAAAATAAATAAATAAAGACATACAAGTGGTCAACAACATATGAAAAAATGCTCAACACCACTAATCATCAGAGACATACAAAACAAAACCACAGTGAGATAACATCTTACATCAGTAAGGATAATTATTATTAAAATATCAAAAAATAACAAATGCAGGTAAGCCTGTGGAGAAAAGGGAATGGTTATACGCTGTTGGTGGGACTGCAAATTAGTTCAGCCACTGTGGAAAACAGCTTGGAGATTTCTCAAAAAACTAAAAAGAGAACCTCCATTTGACCTAGCAATCCCATTAGTGAGTACATATGCCTAGGAAAATAGATCATTCTACTAAAAAGACACATGCATTCGTATGTTCATTGCAACACTATTCACAATAGCAAAGACATGGAATAAAGTGAGGTCGCATCAGTGGTGAATTAGATAAAGAAAATGTGGTACATATACACCATGGAACGCTATGCATCCATACAAAGAATGAAATTATGTCCTTTGCAGCAACATGGATGCAGCAAGAGGCCATTATCGTAAGCAAAATAACACAGAAACAGAAAATCAACACATGTTCTTACTTATAAGTGGGACTAAATCTTAGGGTCACACAGATATAACGATGGGAACAGTAGGCACTGGAGATTCCAAAAGGAAGGAGGGAGAGAGGAAAAGAGCTGAAAAAGTGCCTATTGGTTACTATGTTCACTATCTCCATGATGGGATCAATAGAAGCCCAAACCTCAGCACAACGCAATACATCCTTGTAACAAACCTGAACGTGTACCCCTGAACCCAGTATAAAATGGAAATTTAAAGAAATTTAGATTTTTTAAAAAATAAGAATAATTATTCATAGGAATCATTTTAATTGTTGCTGTTGAGGCTTTTGCAGCAGAGGAAACCATTATTAATAACTGATATGGTTTGGATACTTGTTCCAGTTGTCATGTGGAAATGTAATTCCTAACGTGATTGGCGCCTAGTGGGAGGTCTTTGTCATGAGGATGGATCCCTCATGAATGGCTTGTGCGGTCTTTGCAGTAATGAATGACTCCTCACTCTGTTACTGCAGAATCTGATTGTTTAAAAGAGCCTGGCATCTCTCTCTTACTCTTGCCATGTGACATGCATGCTCCCACTATTCTTCTGCTTGATTGACTGTAAGCCTCCTGCAGCCTCAGCAGGACCGGATGCCAGCTCCAAGCTTCTCGTACAACCTGCAGAACCAGAACCATTCTTGGCCTATAATCATGTATTTGGTCTTTGGTTAGGATAAATCAGCAAAATAATAAAGAACAAACAGGGACTAGACTTTTAGTTAGAGAAATAAGCAGAACAACCTAAGGGCAAGTCACAATGTGTAATCAAAATTGATAATTTTAGGGCTTTCCTCCTTTACCCGGAATTTCTTTGGGTCACCTCACATTGCAGTTTTAGCTAAAGGAAGAAATAACGATGTGAATCCACTCCCTGTCCAAGTTTTAGAAGTCTTTCTAAGGTTACGTATAAATGATTTAGGGGTTCATCTGTTATTTTAAACCATCTGCCCCTATGATTTCTTACAAAAATGCAGATCATCAATCACAGAGTGAATAAAGTTATTCATGGAAGAGAAGAAAATTAACATTAGTCGTCACTCTGATGAACTTGTTATTGTCTGCTTTACCACAGCCATCATCCATTTCTCTTTAACTACTTGCAGGCTATTTGTTGGAATTATAATTAAAAACTATAGTGTTTAAATTCACTTGACTGTCACCTGCAGATTTACCTGATTGCGAAATGTGCCACTATATTCTACCCCCAAAAATAAAATTACATACACATGAACACAGAGGTGTTAGAAAAAATGCACTATCGACTGGTAATTGACACACATTATAGCAAAATCAAAAATATAATACTTTAAATAACATAAATCATGTCTAACGTTTTCTTTCGCCCCATTCATCCTCTGGTTGATTGGTGTTTTCATCCGCATTGTGACATCAGCATAGACCTACAAGGGAGTTACAGCAATGCATTTTCCCTAGGGCCACCATTTATACTATAAATTATGAACGCATTATTATGCTGCCACTTTGGTTTTGAAGAGCTTATGTTAATTAAAGGCTAAGAAAGCACACACACAGCACAATTATTTTTAATTAAGATTAAAATAATGCTGTATGTCAATATAGTCCTCAATGGAAATGATGGCTTAATGTGTCACCTCATTTTCTTGTCTATGTAATACAGCCATGTCTAATATTGTTTTCAGTTTCCTACCTTTTAAACATACAAACCTCAAGGTTACCAAGAGATCAACTTTATGCCTGAGACATTGCTGTATACAAGCATTTATGGAGTGAACACTTTATACAAAGCACTGAACTTTCTAAAATAGATACAAAAATGCATTACACAAGATTCTAGGTTTTTAAGAGCTTGCATCATGTTTTGGGTGACCTCTCAATTTGTTGTTAATATGAAGACTAATAGTTTTCGTATAAACTTAAGTAAAATAATAATTGGCATAAAGCAAATGAATTGGAACCATATTCTAAAATAATTATATTTTGACTGTGATGTTTTTTAAAATATGAAACTTTATAGATTCTTTTCCCTGAAATTTAAAATTGGGAAACTAGAAGTTAAATTTTACTTAAACGTAAAAGAAAGCACAGCTAATTTCTTTTCTTTTTAAATTTTTACAAAAATGAATACTACATAATTGAATCAAAATTATTCCTTCAATTTAGAATAACTTGAATTTTCCCCTATCCGAAAAGTTTATAAAGAAAAGTTGATTTTTTGATGCATTTAACAAGTATTGGGACTCCAAAAATCCCACCAAAACTTATAACTCGTGGCATTTCTAGGCCATAAACATTTCAGTCTTGCTGTTGTGCTGTCACATTTGAGGATTTATTTCTCCATGAAATAAAATATGTCATAAGTATTTAAATGGCAGTTTCCATAAAAAATAAAAAATTACATTCTATTTTATCAGATAGGAGAAAGCATATCTCACACAGGGATGTTCTTGAGTGACATTTTCTTTCAATCTTGCCGGAAGTACAAACCTTAGAGCTGACAAGAGACCTAAATGTTTAATTTAGTCACACCAGCAACTCAATAGGCATTGAAGGCAATGACCACATTCTTCCCAACAGGTGAGTAACAGAATCCTCAGGGAACTCTGAGCCTGAATCATTTAGAGTAGCAAGCCCCAAATTGACTTTGTTAGGACTCTAGTAGAATAAAAAGACATAAAGTTTTTTAAAAATAGGAAGTATAATTAAAATCTTGTATTTGTCAGTTTATTGGCAATTTAACCACTGTGCTTTTTTCACTGGAAGAAGTTCTACTTTTAACATTAGACTGTGTTCTTTCACAGATAACACCAATAAAATCACGTAAGAAAAAATGTACAGGGCAGATGAAAAACATAAAATTTAATGAAAGTTGATATTTATTTCATAGAGTATTCATATTATCTTAGCGGGACACTTTTGGAAGGTTACAGCTAACAGTTATGTCAGAACAATAAAAGAAACCTGAACACATTGGGGAATAATAGGGAATTATATTAATACATACAAGAAGGAAGCACTCTCAATTTTAGTTGGAAATCTCCAAATATGTATTTGGAAAAACTTTAAAACCTTATCAAAATAAATCTAAGCTGCTTTATTCTGTTTTCATTATATGCCAATATAGATTAAAATTATTATATTAATAAATGTTACTAATATTGGAATACAATATGCCGTATCCAATTTAAAAAGCAGAAGAAACAATAAACTGTTGATTCTTACTTACTGGATGGAACTGTTTTGTCTAGGTATCCTAGGGCCATATGTAATGGTCTCTTTCCTCACTGACATTCCCTTTAGATCCCCCTTGATTACTTAATATATCCTAATTTATACGAGTTATAAAAATATAAACAGTCTAGTACCAGGCAAAGTATGAGCCCAAATCCTACCATTCTTGACATTCCTAATCTTTCCTAGCACCTCTGTCTTGTGCTCAGATGACACCTTTATTGTTTGGCAACATTTAGGAATCTTCAATACCTCTTTTTAAAAAAAGTGTTAACATGTAGATACATTCCCATAGCACTGCATAATGATAGGAATTAATAACTCAAATATGATTTTCAATGATAAATATTATCTTTGCTATACTACAATAAGAAAATAATATGCAGATAATCCTATTTTAAACTGAATGTATCTTTACCTAGAAATATTCCATTTACTTTTATTTTTATTTATTCATTTTTTTTTAAATGGAGTCCCGCTCTGTCGCCCAGGCTGGAGTGCAGTGGATCTTGGCTCGCTGCAACCTCTGCCTCCTGGGTTCAAGCCATTCTCCTGCCTCAGCCTTCCGAGTAGCTGGAACTACAGGCACGCACTATCATGCCGGGCGAATTTTTGTGTTTTTAGTAGAGACAGGGTTTCACCATGTTGGGTAGGCTGGTCTCCATCTCCTGAATTCAGGTGGTCCTCACACCTCAGCCTCCCAAAGTGTTTGGATTACAGGCATGAGCCACCACGCCTGGCTTCGAAATATTCCATTTATAAAGAGAAAATGTTTCCTTACTTATGGATCAAAAAGAAAGGGAACAAATTAACAAAGTACATCTTCCCAAAACAAAGATTTCAATAAGTTAAATAACTCAGGATTTTATTTTAATATTTCTGTTTTTAAAATAGTATGTTGGAGCACATAGTCTTTTCTCAGAAGATAGGAAAATAGGGATTTGTTTTCTTTTAAAAAATATTTTCTAAAATTAGATTGTAACAAGCAATAATTAAATGTTGAACTATGATGAAAAGAGCAATTTTCTTTTCCCAGGGTAGAAGTGTATCTTTTCCCTTACAGACAACTTGGAGTTGTACAGAAGAAACTTTTTTTTTTTTTTTGAGACAGTCTCACTCTCGCCCAGGCTGGAGTGCAGTGGCGCGATCTCCGCTCACTGCAAGCTCCGCCTGCCCGATTCACGCCATTCTCCTGTCTCAGCCTCCGGAGTAGCTGGGACTACAGGCACCTGCCACCACACCCGGCTATTTTTTTTGTATTTTTAGTAGAGATGGGGTTTCACCATGTCAGCAAGGATGGTCTCGATCTCCTGACCTCGTGATCTGCCCGCCTCTGCCTCCCGAAGTGCTGGGATTACAGGTGTGAGCCACCGTGCCCGGCCCAGAAGAAACTTTTAAGTGACTAGAGGGGTAGATGTGTGACCACAGTGGTACATTTCCGGGAACAGATGAAGCAAAGTACTCATAATTATGCTTTTCACACAGTTTAAATAAACTTTTCAAAATGTTTTGAAATGTAACTTCAACAGTTATTTATGTCATATACGCTCACATGATGTGATAACTCTAGTTCTTGGTTGTTTATATAGCTATGATTTCAATGGCAAAAACGAAATGAAGGAAATTAATTTTCCATTAAAGAGAATGTATACTTTTATGGACATAAATTCAATTCAACCAAACCAAACAACTCCCTTAACATTGTCATTAGGTATTTTTTTCTATTTTGTCTTATTAAAAAATTTCCAAATCTAAATAAAATGACACAGATTTATCTCTCAGCTGTCATATAACTATAAGCATGATTAGTCCATATTCTATACTTTCACTGCTCTCCCTGACGTACAACAAGGGCCTTCCATGTATGCTTTGAAAATGAGCAAAATATCACAATCATCAAACATATTTGTCATGTCTCAGGGCAATGTAGAAGCTTCAGTTTATTTGATGCAGTACCTGATTTGGGGACCTTTAAGGTCTGGAGAAAGTGCTTTGACTTAACATGACAAATGATAATCTAAGTGTTCTGAGAAAAATTCAGAGCAAGTAAAAAAATATATTTCTTTTAAATATCTAAAGATGCCCTTTAAAATAAATTAAATCTGCATCTGCATAGATGTGGCCTGTAAGTGGTTTTCTTCTTCTTATTTTTTATTCTACAGGTATCCAGCTTCAAGAATATTTGTACTACTTTTTTTTTTTTACTCTCAGAACAAAGAGTTTATATTTTTCTTTGGAAGAGGTAAATCACAAGTAAGCATTTTAAGGACTTTAAATGGCAATTTTCCTTGCTAGGTATTTATTGTGAAAAAGCCTCAGAAATAGTCAACACTTTATGTTAAATATCAGTAATAACAGTGGGTCATTTAAACACAGCCAACTTTTGTTAAGAAGACTATTTAGTGAAAGCAGTACTGGAATTAATTGATTTTTTACAATTTTGGATTTTGGATTTTTTGTTTTTTTGTTTGAGACAGTCTCACTCTGTTGCCCATACTGGAGTACAGTGGCATAATCATAGCTTACTGCAGCCTCAAGCTCATGGACTTAAGCAATCCTTCTACCTTGGCCTCCCAAATTGCTAGTATTATAGGTGTAAGCCACCACACCCAGGCTGATTTTAAAAAATTTACATTGAGTTAAAAACACTTTTTTTTTTTGACTCATGAAAATGATCTCTATTCTAAAATGACTCTTAACACTGTGCTATATATAATTCATTGTGCAGCCGACACAGGGGAAATAGAAATTTGAGTTACAGTTAGAGAATTTGAGCTCAAGTCTTGAGTCTATAACCTTAGGTGTGTAATCTTGCTTCTATAGCCTAATCCATTTGGGTTCAGTTTCTTCTTGTGTGTAACAGGAATTGCTAATCCTACTCATATGATTTCTGCGAGAATTAAATAAGAAAATACAAGTAGAAGAGTCTTGTAAAAAGCAAGGGACTCTAGGAAGGTAATGTTTTACAAAGTTCTCTAATTAATGGACTCACTGAGATAATTGAAGGCATTTCTAATATTGTAGAATTATGATCAGAATAACAATTAAATTTATATAGGATTTCAGTAATGAATATCAAAAATATTGGGTTTGATCATCTACTGATTCAAGGAAGGCATGGGGTTATATTTGTAAATAAAACCTGCATATCAGCTTGGTTCATCATTATTGCTTGTTTCTTTCCCCTGAATTTCGAGTATATAATCTCTCTCTCCCTCGCTTTGCTCTCTCTCTCTCTCTCTCTCACACACACACACACACACGTTAAATAATTTCTCTCTCTCTCTCTCTCTCACACACACACACACGTTAAATAATTTTTAGAAGGACACTTTAATTCAAAGTTCTTTTTTTTGTTTTTTTTTTGTTTCGTTTTGTTTGATTTTTTTTCTTTTATTATTATACTTTAAGTTTTAGGGTACATGTGCACATTGTGCAGGTTAGTTACATATGTATACATGTGCCATTCTGGTGCGCTGCACCCACTAACTCGTCATCTAGCAAAGTTCTTTTTATCTAGATTATTAATGTTCATGTATTGATGTTTACAAATGACTAAAAGTAAGGGTTAGTTTATTTCAATGCAGAAATGTATATTGAACTTATAAATATATTAAATGAAAACTTGTAATACCTTACCATATATTTACAGAAACAAACTACTGAGATGTTATCAGTATATCAGTCTAAAGAGATACAGTGTAATATAAATCAATGAATTCTCTTATTTTAGGAATTCCATTTTCTCCATCAGTCTAATCACATCGGAACAAAGTTAAATTTTACTTAGTCATTCTTAGTAAGACTGAATTTTATTTCATATTGATGTAAACACAGATGCCTTCAGACTTCAATTTCAACTTATAAAAATGATGTAGGATTTGAAGTAAGATAAAGTTTATATTCCCCTTTCTTAAGATTATATTAATTTCAATTACTCTGAAATAACAATACTAAAACTAAGATATTTTATTTGTTGAATAGATGTGACACTTGGGTAGGAATTGCACAAGATTCTTAAGATATTACCCAGGAAAATATATAAATAAATATACACAGTATATGGAAAAAATAATTTTAGTAGTGATGCATAGGAAAACATTTTAGTTATTAAAAGAAGGTCCATTGCCTTTTTCTTTTTTTACTACAGCTTACATGTATGAGCTACAAGCATAGCCTCAGTCCTCACTTGGTACTACTGAAGTAAAGAAATAGAATAAATAGGCCAGGCACGGTGGCTCACGCCTGTAATCCCAGCACTTTGGGAGGCCGAGGAGAGCAGATCATGAGGTCAAGAGATAAGACTATCTTGGCCAACATGGTGAAACCCCGTATCTACTAAAAATACAAAAATTAGCTGGGCGTGGTGGTGAGTGCCTCTAATCCCAGCTACTTGGGAGGCTGAGACAGGAGAATTTCTTGAACCAGGGAGTCGGAGGTTGCAGTGAGCAGAGATTGCACCATTGCACTCCAGCCTGGTGACAGAGCGAGAATCCCTCTAAAAACAAAAACAAAACAAAACAAAACAAAAATAAATAAATAATAAAATTACCTAAATCATCTCATCATCCCTCAAAAGGCCTGAATCTAAAAAATCCAGAGGCTGACTACTAATTATGTTTTTCAAAAATTCCCATCACGGCTACCATGTTTAGTGGATCTTAATAGGTTTCAGCATCTGTTTTTAAAAATATCAAATCTGTAACCTAGATTTTTAAATATAATTAAACATTATCTCTGTCTTGCCAAATACTCAGAATTGGGACAAGGAGCACTTTAACATTAGAGGAAAATAATTTAATTTACATGTGGACTTCTTTCCCTCACCTGACAGTCAAATGAATTTGAGCAAGTAGCCCACAGGCTTAGTAAGACCTTTAATGGCCTTAGCAAAAGAAAGAGGGGTTCCTCATTACGTGAATACAGAAAAATTTTATTTCTTTATTACTTTGAGATAAAATTCTATCTAAATTATATCCTTACTTGTGTACAAAGTATTTTTTAAGAACTGTTATATTGATGATATTCTGGGTAATATCTTTCTAAATACAAAAATAAAGGAATAAGTGGAATTAAGTTAAATGTTATATCTATTGTAAAATGGGGTGTGAAATTAGCAGGGGCAAGAGGAACAACAGTTTATACTCACTAAAGTGGGGACTGATGGGAAAATTGTATCTTAGAAAAGAATAAGGTCCCATTTGTCAGATAGATTGTATTAGGCATTAAATGCATGGTTCCTGACAGTGTCATCTATTCATTCCCATCACACACACACGCACGCACACACACACGCACACACACGCACACACGCACACACACACACAGAGGTTTATTTCTTGACAAATATTCCTTTGAAAATTCCATTCTTGCAATTGCTGTTTTCTCCTTCTCCTCCTCCTCCTCCTCCTCTTCGTCCTCCTCCTCCACTTCCTCCTCCTCCTCCTCCACTTCCTCCTTCTCCTCCTCCACTTCCTCCTCCTCCTATTCCTCCTCCTCCTCCTCGTCCTCCTCCTCCACTTCCTCCTTCTCCTCCTCCACTTCCTCCTACTCCTCTTCCTCCTCCTTTTCCTTTCTTCTTCTTCAGATGCAGTTTGGGCTCAAGTGATCCTTCCACCTCAATCTCCCAAGTAGCTGGGACTACAGGCACACGACACACCACCATGTCCGGTTTATTTATTTACTTTTAAATTTCATTTTCTAGAGATGGATGTGTTGTTTCGCTGCCCAGTATCGTTTTGAACTCCTGGCTTCAAGCCACCCTCCCACCTTGGCCTCCAAAGTACTGAGACTATAGGCATGAGCCACTGTGCCCAGCCGTATCTTCTGATAGAAGGGGAAAAAGACTTGTTCAAATGTAGCTTAGGCAAACAGGGAAAATCAGAATGCTTGGAAGCCCAGGCTTTGTGATATTATTGGCTACCAACCTCGTTCCTATAAAGAATTAAGCTAAGTATTGGGGGAAATGGAAAGAATTGAGGAGAAAGATGTTTGACATTTCAGAAGACAGTTTTAGCTCTTAACTCTGAAACCAGAAAATTTCCTGTCCTCATGGAACATTCATTTAATGACACAGAAGAGATGGCCCACTGTGATTTAAAAAAAAAAAATTATTAAAAGTGCTTACATTCTATATTCAAAGGTAAAACTTAAGATTTACAGAGAAGGGACATTTTGACCTTACATTCCTTTGGATTTGACATTTTCCACATAAATTCATATGTGAGAGTTTGGTCTTTTTTAGCTTTTATTCTTATAGTATTCAGTAAGGTATCTAGATTCAGACACAATTCTCTTGCCTCCTGAGAGTTTTCCATTATAAAATAACTTTAAAATATACACATTCCAATTGGTCTCCCTATTATACATCTATATCTACAGGATAATCAAATCTGTTGGGAACCTTTATAATAGAATCCATTGGAAAACATTTGTTATTTTATATTCAACTGCTAGGACACAGTTTGATATTACAAAATAGAGAATGGGAAAGGATAGCATTTCCTTGATAATAGTTAAATTTTTCTGACTATCTAAAATAAGAGCAGAAATAAAATTTAGATTTCATTCACTTAGGCATTTATGTCGGAACTGGATTAATTAACAATCTTTTCTCCCAAGCTATTAAAACACATTTTCAATATGGAAATCCAGCATATTTATGTAAATAAGATTATGACAGACTTTCAGTTTGAATTTTGTAATGTATTCCCATTATTAGCCAAAATGTTTCTATTTCTATTGTTCCCCCTAAAATTGCCTATAAAAATGTATACCTTTGCAATATAAATTACATACGCCATAAAATTAAAATGGTATTTCTTTTTATGATAATACTTAGGGATGAAAGAATAATGTTCTCAAGAAATTATTTTCTGAAGATAGCAGTTTAATGTCTACATCATTTAAATACTTTGCAATATAAAAGATTGTAAATTGTATGTTTCGCTGAGGAGCAAATGAGTTTTACTTGAAATGAGAATAAGTTTCCTGCTGTGACCTCAACGTCATCATTTTCTCCTCTGCTACTCGGTTCTTAACTCAGCAGCAACAAATAAGAACAAGTTTTGAAGGTCATTATTAACCTTATGTATGAACTATACTGAATGTAAAATCCTGATCCTGATGCTAGCAGGGTCTTCGAATTTTGAAACAGTACATTATAAGGTTTTGTATTACCACATACTCATCATCTTTTTCCATAAACATCACAAAATTTCTAATGAATTACTCATGGGCACAGAATTAGATGTGCCTCCTGGGGTAAAATCTTTTATTTCTTCCTCTTATAATGACTCTTAGAGAAGGAAAAATAAAAGCAGAGAATGTCTTAATTTACAAATTTTATTCAATGCAATAAATAGTTACTTTTCATGTTAGTAAAATATAATTATGTCGACAAGAGTGTAGATTTTAAGCAATTAACTATGATTTTGCTGATGTTAATTTGAATTCTTGGGGCTCAATATATAGATTATATTGCTACATGACATTACTCAAATAACTGTGGCAGACTGCGCATGCAGGATGGCGATGAGTTTGATTTATTCTTATAGATATGGTTATTTTTTCCAGTTATCAATCACCTGCTGGTATTCTTTAAGGAATAATTTAAAGCCTATGTCTGAATATGTGTAGTGAACTGTGAAGGAATGGAAGTTAACAATGCTTTGGGCTGATTTTCCAAGATGAATTTTTAAAGACAGGCAAATCTAAAGTGTTAGAGGGTCAGAATATCTTTTCTTGATAGTAAACCGCAATTTTATCTTCAAAATATGGAACAATAGTTCTAATTTTTTAAATACATCACATGTAGGAATTTATATTGGTGAATAAAAGGTACCTACTAGATACTTGTCTGATTCCTTGTTGTGTACCTAAACTTGTGATGGAATTCAGAGTCTCACTAAATATATATTGAATATTGAAGCATGTTTTATTATTTAGTATAAAAACATGAATTATTATTTTCATTTTGCACCTTTTATTGTCATTATGTTAAAAACAGACTCTTCATCACATTGTTTTGCTTTCTTTTTATTCTTTAAGTGTCACTGTTTTGACAGGGGTTTGTGGTTGTTTAAAGCCATAAAACTATTACTGTGCTACACTGGCAAACTGCGTGAAGGAAAATGAATGCCTGTCTCCGTAAGACATGAGTCAAAAATCCAAACTCTATCATATGACTATAAAATATGTTAAATTTGTGTTTATAAAAATGATTTGATAAAGAATCAGTGAGGTCAATATGATTTGATAAACCATCAATGAGGTCAATAAGGGAATTAAGGATAAAGAATATCAAAGTAATTTACAATAGTTTCAGTTTTAAGTTGTACAATTAAACTCACTGTCCTTATGCTGTTGGGGTCTGTGACGGTAAGAAAGCAGGAATACGGTTTTAAAGGCTTTGCTGTGAGAAACAGTCATTTGACTTGAATGGATAAAGTAGAAGTTAAGGAGAAAAATTGTCATGGCACATATCTGGCCCCCTAAACTAGAATAACTTTGTTAGTATGGATGTAGCTGTTGGCTCTATATAGAATACAAATTTAATTCAAAAAATGCAAGGTTGTATAGATTCATTTGAGGAAATGGTAGGGAGAAGCACTGTAGACATGAGGTGTTGCCACATTTCCACTGAAGTACATACTGTTAAAGGTTTACATAATCCTAAGAAATTCATGCCTATTGTGCCTTGTATAAAAAGATAAAGTACTTCAATTTAGGGAAAGCATTATTCCTGTGTTAATACAGAGCATAAGCAGCACAAAACCCCAGAAAGTTTCAATGCTGACATCATTGTCCCTTTGGGATCACTGTTAGGTGGACGGTAATATCTAAGAATTCATTCAAAGGGTATTGCTCAAGCATCTCCTGGAAAAAAGTTTGTAGCCTGGGACCTTTGTTACAATAAAGTTTTAAGTCCAAAGGGAAAAGCTATACTTTATATACACATGGGATATGCCTCCAGGCTACTTTAGAAAATTGAAGAGGAAATGTGGATATTTTCTGAGCAGACATTTTAATGGAAGGAAGAAAAAAACCCTCAGAACATTGAATAGCTTAAAAGCAAAAATAGTAGGACCTAAACAGTAAGAAGGTAGAAAAATTTAGTAACTCAATTCTTAGAAAATTACAGGCCTTCGAGTTTTTTGAGACAAAAATTGCCAGAAAATAATAATAACTCCTGTTAACCAGTTACAAAATAGTAATTCAAGAAGACCTTTAAAAGTAACAATATGAATTATATATAAGTAAGAATAACAGTAGTTTCAAAAATAATATATTACTCCTTATTCAACATTATATAACATCAAATATATTTTATTCTATTATATACATATCTGGATATACGGCATTAGATATGTTCCTAAAATATATATCAAATATATATATTACATATATATAACTTGACTACATAAATACTATACTCATTATATAGTATTTGCCAGTGAAACATATTAATATGTACATATACAATTGGAAATGTTATAAAATGTGTATCTGTACCTGAAGCACCAAAAAATAGTACATCAGTTAAATATAATTAAGTCAATTCTCAAAGTTCAATAAACTAATTGAACATATGATAACATAAGAATCAAAAATTATTTGTTAATATAATACATACACATGCATATGTAAATCTATTTACATATACACAAACATATGCAAAATTTCATAAGAAATGATACTTATATTTACACTAATTTATAAATCATCATACACAATTAAGTTTCCCAAATTCAATATATACAAAATCTTAAAACTTACCAGGTAACATTGTTTAAGGAATACAGAGTTTCTATTTTGGAAATAAATATTCTGATGATGTACAAATTCTAAATGTATTTAATGCCACTGAATTGTGTACTTACAGTTAAAATGGTAAATTTCATAATATGTGTATTTTACCAAAATTAAATAAAAATTAAACATGACTCAAAAAACCCATACTATACTATTTAATATTTTGGCCAAGTTATGTTTTGAGAAATGCAGAAAGGGCAATTTTATGGGTGTTTTTTAGTCAAGATTGAATATGTTTGTGTTCAGATTCTAAGAGTAAAATCAAAGGACCGATTTAATAACCATTTATAATTTTGTCAAATATATATTCATAAAATGCTTTTAAAAGCTTGCTACAACATACATAGCATATTAAGTTTTATTAATAAATCAACTATTATTTTTAAATAAAATTTACTGTTTAAATATCAAAATTAAATATTTCCATTTTCATTACTGTTTTATTCAAATTATATATATATTTTCAAGGAAAAAAGTCTGTAGAATATAAAGGTTAGAAATGTACTCTCTAGTTTAAAATGCCCTTCATGTAATAATACCTCATGAATATTAACCTAAGGAGGTGTTCTGTCAATATGAACCATCGATAAAAATGCACTAAATTTTCTTTTAAAATATCAAACTAAACACCACATCTAACATGTTTAAATAGATCTTTACATAAATTCCTCACAGTTGCAGTTTGCCTTATTCAGTCATAAGTTCAGCACAGGAATACACTTAGCAAAAATAGAATTAGCCATCACAAGCGAGAGTAGTAAGTCAAGGAGATTACTCGGTAACTCAGGGCCTTTAAAATCAATTGAAGAGAAGAGAAACTAAAAAATGGCTTTAATTATTTCATTATTTCTAAAAGTCTCTGACAAACTCTCAAAAACTATTATAGTGTATTCAGATGCTTAGAAATACAACTGTCACCAAAATAAACCCAAACTGTTTTATTAAATATAGAACTTGAAACTTTAGTTGATTTCTGTTTTTGCATCTGGAATAAAGGTCACGCTAGAGTAGCAGGCCTCCTGGTAGCAGGCCTGTGAAAAATTTTCCATATCCAGAGACAAGCTACAGATTCAGTAAATCGGCATTATGGAATAATAAGCATGCCCTAGGAATAAAGGCAAATTTTGAATTTCGGTAAACATTTTCAATAACCAAGTATTTTTTTCTTAATATGTATTATTATAATGAGTCAAATTCTTATGAACACTTCTCCCTTTTACACTTGTGACATATGAAACTGCCCAGTAGGAAGGAGAACAGCATACACTGTCCCATTGATCTCTGTTTATTATTTTGTATTTTCATTTCTTTCTGGCATCTTTTGAAGTACAACTTTCTTCCCGACTCATAAAGAACACGAATAACATCAATAGAGTGTTCATCAGGGTATTTATATTTTAAGAGTAAGAAAGGAAAAAAAAAAAACCAAGAATGAAGTTCTTTTGAATATCTGAAAAAAGAAAGTTTCACTTTGATTGGTATCTTGTGCTGACAGAAATCCTAGCACAAGAATTTAAATATGCTTGAAAGAATCTGACATTGTGCTAGGGGATATTAAATGCTTTTCTTCTCTAAAATCTCAGTGGTAATTCTCTTCATTATTATAGTGCCATACCTCCTCACCCCCAACCCCTCACCCGGTGTTTATGGCTGGGAATCACAAAAGCTTTACCATGTTGGAAATAAATCAAAATGCCCTTTCTGACTTGTTAATGAAATCATTCCAGCTTTTCTGTTCACCACTGTAATAGCCATGCTGTTAGTAGATTGTATCCAACTAAGAAAGTTATTCATTTAAATAAGAATCTATTCACTCTGTAGCATTCATGGAAGCGGCTTAAGCAATAGGAATAAAAATAATTACTTGTCTGTCAATATGAGAGCACTTTCCTAGGTCATTGGTGATAAATTAACTCTTTTAATACAGATTTTGACTTATTTTGATCACACATATAAATATTAAACACTGTTGATTGATTGTGATACAAAACATATATATATATATATATCCAATATATATAATTTGTGTATATGCTGTGTATGTGGGTGTATAATGGTCATTTCAAAGATTAATGTCTTATCATTGAAACTAAAATTCACAAGTAAATATATACTAAACTGATAATTGAAAACATTGTTATGTTTATTCTGTTTTGCTACTTCCTTTTGTGTGCAAATATAGGCCTTAGATTATAAAGATGAAAGATGAATCAAGTTCAGACTTCAAATGTGCTGAGAGAGAAAATATTTAATGCTTATGCTTTCTGAGAAAAATGTATTCTTATCAAAAATAAAGAAAAGGATTATTCATATAAATATTCTTAAGAAAGAATTTTAAGGATAACCCCAAATAAAGTGAGATATTAGAAGTTTATAGATTTTTTATTTTCTATTTTTGTGTTACTCTGTCCTAAAATAATTGCTGTCCTCAAACATTGCAATTCTATATATTGTTCATCATATAACTGAAATCACTGAAATGAGCAACCTGTTGTAAATTGCCTATGTCATTATCCCTCTCTTTAAAGACAAAATGGTTTGGTCATGAGATTCTGCACAAGAAGTAATATATGATATATGCTATGGATAGCGGTTAACAGGTCAGTATACTCAAAGGTTATGGCCAGAAATGAAAATAGCAAATCCTTTATAATGCTTATAATGGGACAGGTACTTTTCTAAGATGTTACAGACATTAGCTCATTTAATCATCTCAACAACCCTCTAGAGTTAGGACTATTATTCTCCCCCTTTTACTAACGCCTGAGTCACGCAAATATGAGGCAAGGCACTTATGTGAGGCACATGGTAACTTGCCCACAGTCACAAATTTGAAATGGCAGAGTCTGAACATAAACCTACATAATCCTTGCTTTTAACCACCTCATTATATTGTCTTTTAAAATTGATTTTTGAATATAATATTTATAATGAAAACAATATGGTTGATAAAACAAACAACTTATGGAGCTTATGGAAAATCTAAATTTATAATGGAGTAATGAACAAAATTTATTTAATTAAACCTATTTTGTGAAAAATGTAGTCAAAATTGTCAGATCACAGTGATATAGACAATGATTCAAATAATATATCTCCCTATTTATCTCTGCAGTTTATATGCAGTTTGGTTGCCTCCACTGTCAAATCAGTAAAACTACCTTTAGCTCAAAGCCATAACCTTCAATTAGAAGTAACTTTTAAAGTTATACGGCCTACACAGAGTTTAAAAAAAATAGTATAAAATACATAAACTTCACCTAATATTATATCCCCTCACCACCAGAAAGTTACGTGGTAAACCAAATATAGAAAGATTCCAAATCAAATAATCAGACAAATAGTTAATTGTTGTTTACATTCCAAATTCAACTAGACTTCTATAAGAAATTTGGGAATTTGAAGTAAAACAGGACATATCCTTTTCTCCCAAAGTTTAGGAGTCAAGGTTCCCATTAAAGTATTCTTAAGTGAGTTACTGCCTAATACAGCACCACTTAGCTAAATAATTAGGGCAGATCTGTTATAAAGATAGCTCTGACAAGTCTTTCTTCTAGGGTAAATTACTAGTTAGAAAGTACCATTTCCTACAACTGACATCATAGATTCAATCCAAGAGAGAAGTGGTGGAGATGCATTGAAGTGTCATGAAATTACATGGGTTTTGGGAGGAGACAAATCGGAATCTGAATCTCCTGCTCCAGTACTCTCTTGCTATGTGATCTAACAAAGGTTTTTTAATCCTTTTGAACCTATTATTTCTCTAATCTTAACAATCAGAAAGAGGAAATACCCATCTTTAAAGTTTGTTGTAAGGATTTTATGTAATACAATTACATGGAGCAGTTAACATAGCTTGGTATATCATAGGCACTGAAAGTGGCTTAGTTTCCATTTAACACATTCCTTAAATAGAATTTCTTCTGATGTTGGTCCACTAAATGGGAGTTTCCCCAACAAGTAGTTATATTTTCATACTCCATGAGTATTATATCTATTGTAAAAGTACCTATTGTATTGTACCCTGGTACTCGGGAGGTTGAAGCAGGAGGATTACAGGAGTTGGACACTAGCTTGAGCAACACAGGGACATCCCATCTCTAAAACACAAAAATAAATAATAAAAATTTAGCCAGGCATGATGTTGCATGCCTGTAGTTCCAGCTACTCAGGAGTCTGAGGCTGGAGGATCCCTTGAGCCCAGGAGGTTGAAGCTTCAGTTAGTTATGATCACACCAATGTGCTCAGCCTGGTTTGTAGAGAGAGACCCTGTCTCTAGATAAAATAAAATAAAATAAAATAAAAACAAAACTTCATAACTTATGGAAGTCATCAAAGGAGTAACTGATAAATGTTTAAAACACATAGCATACAGCATGCCACATTGGAAGTGTTTCATAGCTTCAGTAATAACAATATACTATTTCCTATTGCTGATTTCCCTTTAGCAATATCCAAAGCCTCTCTTTATTCCATCTCCTGACTGCCTACCACGCTGCTTTGCTAAGTCTAAAATTCGCCAGATTTCAATGTAATTTCAAGGCATTAAGAAAATGAAAGCATTTCATTTCAATAAAACATTATAAGGCTCATCCCTTATTAAACTTGTTTCTGCAATAATTAAATTCCCTGGGTTGCTTCTTACCTTAGGAAATGGATAAGTTCCCATTTTTTATTTTATTTTCTGGTCAGTTTTTCCAACAAATTGTGAAAATGAAAGGAAGTGCCAAATCTCATTGCCACGTGATCCAACAAAACATCTTTACCACTCAAAAACATCTTGTTCAGTCATTATATTACCATACTCATGTTTTCAGAGACACTATAGAGACAGATTACTCAAATATTTAAAAATAAAAATCATTAATAATGGCACTTATTTTTCCATATCAGGTCAGCAAAAAGAGTTTCATGTTGCTTAGCACTTTGCTGTTGCAATTGTTATTTTTGAAAATTTGAGTTTTTCAACATCATTACAAATATTTTGCATTTATTCATTAGATTTCAAATTAGAGAACTTTAGATTATATGGAAATCTTGCATTTGGACTACCACGTATTATGCTGTGGGAAAGCCTTATCAAAGGCATAAAAGATTACATAGATAACTGATATACGTAAGGTTTAGATGTCCATGAAATGATTCTAAACTAAAAGTACTTTGAAGAGCTTTCATTTTAAATTATCATATTATTTTAAAAGATATTAAAAGCTTATTATAAAACTCATGTTAAGGTTCAGTAAAAATATTTTTAAAAACTCTTATTTCAAAGCACATTTTGCTAATAGTGAGTTTCCAACAACATGTTTTAAATAAATAGATCTTTAAATAGCTGAGAATTTTAGTGCTTTACTGAAAACCTCCACTGGTGTTATTTACACACTAGTTTATGAGGATACAGCCAGATGGAGTTTCTGCTAAATTATTCAGGGGTCAGAATATCTGACTTGTTGGTTGTACATAGACCAGAGTTCTTTAATCATCCCTACAGAAGGTGAGAGGAAAATACAATGCAATATCTAGATTGTGCAAACAAGATCATTAAAAGAACTGTTACAGACAGACAGACCCCAAAGAAAAATGTCAACCTAACTAAATCATTTTATCCCATTGTAGCATTTAACACTGCACAGCAGTATCTTGATCCTGTATTTTCTTTTGCTTTGGCTGTCTCTCCTAAAATGTAAGCCGTATGAGAACAGGGAAAATAAAAATAATACATAAGGGAAAAGATGATCTATTCTACTTTTCCATCATCTGTGAAAAGTCCTGTATATATTCTGAAGTACCTTTGGTTACAATTCTCACTACTTAGTTCTACTTCGAAGAATTTTAACATTTTTTTTTCATATTAATCTTCTTCTTAAATCTCTCTCCTTGGATATGTAAGAATGTTGACAAGCCAAGTGTTGAAGTAAAGAACTATTAATAGAAGATTTTCTATAAATAACTAATACGTGTCTGTATGTGTGTGTGTGTGTGTGTGTGTGTGTGTTTAAGGGAATCAGTTAACCACTAACAAGTGAACTTTTAAAATTTTGGAGTCATTAAGAAAAAAGAAACAGATGGTTTTTTGACAGTGTGGTATTCTTGCCTCTCGAGGTTTGGGAAACACATACCCAGTGGTCATGCCTTCAGGCAAAAGTCTTAACTAATCAAGCTACTAATCTGCTGCTCAATGTAACATGCTGCAAACCACATGAGCTGAAAATACAGTGTCCTTAAAGAGCATTTCTATATGTTCATTTTGAATGCTGCAATAGAGAGATGATTGTATGTCAGACCACTGTGACTGCCCAGAAAATAGATCTGTGTGTGTGTGTGTGTGTGTGTGTGTGTGTTTAAAATCTTTGCTATTAACTATATTGCAACTCTTAAGGTCTTATTGGTATGTTTAAAGATAGAAGGTAGGAAGATAGATTAATGACACATAGATAAAACTAGCATGGTGTATTTTTCAGGGATACAGAGATTAAAAATAGATTCTGCTCCTTCTGTGGATCTAAAGTATTTTGCAAGCCATGCGTTAAAAATAATAGTTTACTCTTTGTTTTGCAACTAATTCTTAAAAATGAAGGGATAGACTTTTAACAGGTTGAGCGGTTTGCAGAATTTGCTTTTCTCTGCTATCTTTTAGTGCACTGGCAAATCATTGACCTTGGACTGCAATAGGTAATGTGCACAAGACATGAAAAAACTCATAAAAGAGTGAATTAGAAACAAAATAGAGGCTGAATGTATTCATCTTCCCTCTGCAATTGGATATTTCTACGTTCTTCTTTGCCACTCTGCTATATTTATTTTTAAAGAATATCATTTTTTAAAATGGAGAAATATTTTCTTCAATATGTGTATTGTTTAAAAAGACATGGGGTGCTAAACTCTAACATTTAGAGTTTAATACAGGGAAGGTATTTATATGCAACTCTATGGCCAGAAGACAAGTTCAAATTGTGCTACATGTCTCTTCCCCAATTTATAAAGATGTATGAAGAAGATCTCTTTTTATAACAGTTATCAAAACTTTGTATGTCAACATATCTATATGACTTTGACCAATAGATGAAATTTATTTTTCAGTTTGTCAGGTCTCTTGAGGCAAATCCCTTTTTGGTAAAAACAGACATCTCAATAGACTGGTGAATCATTTGAAGTAGTGTTTAATTAGATTGAAATATAGACAACCTGCAGACAATTTTTCTTCAATGATTCATTAGTTTGTCTTATTTAGATGATAGGCAGGAATTCTATTTTCTGCAATGTTTTTATTTCTTTTTAAGTACTTGTGTGCAATTAACATGAGACATTTCAATCTGAATATTTTGAGCATTTCTAGATAGGCAAATTAATAAAGTATATCAATTGATTTTAATTGAGGTAATGAAACTATAATAATTCGTTTAGAAACATAAAACATCTAGGAACAGTGCCTGGATCTTAAAATTTCCTTCATAAATGTAGATTTCCATTCATCTTAGAAATTAAGTTTTGTTTTTGCTCTCTGAGCACTTTAAATTGCTGGATAAATATAATGTATTGTTTCAAAATATTTATAAACAATTTGGTGAGACTATTTATAGATTAATTTAGTCTTTAATCAAGTAATCAGATGCTTTGTTATATAAGATTAATGATAGTTTAATAGAAACTTATTTCAGACACATGATAAGTAATGACTACGTTATGAGTCATCCTAAATCAAATAAACGGGTCATGAAAAATGTAAAGAGAATCTGAAAAAAGATGAGTCTTTCCAAAATTTATTCCCATAAATGACAAATAAATAAATTATATTTAGACAATGACAATTTTAATTCAATATTTTTGTAGGAATGAATTATCTTATATTTGGGCATACAGTTTAGCCAACATATTATACTAATTGGTAAAGTCACAGAGCTGGATAGGATAGATAGGAGGCCAGGCCCACACTAGCCAGATGCACACACCTGTATCTTCCTATCACAATTAGATTGAGGCAAAGCCTCAGCTGGAAAGGTCTGAGTACCTCAATTATCTAATTTGTATGAATTTTATGCTCACTATTCCAACATTAAAGTCAAGTAAAAATAATCTGAACATTTGTCTAATCTATATATTGCCACAAAACACCAGAAAACAGACTCCATGGGAGGAAAAAATTGTCCTAAGCATTTAACCACCACCTCCCTGGTTGCTTTATGTTTTCCAAGAAAAATTATTTTCTTAATCTCAAGGTGGATCTGAGAGTTTCATGATTGTGCCGGTGGTGTGTTACTGTGATTTTGCTCAGAGCAATGTCTATAAAATCTTTCCTTGAGATTCGAGGATGCTGAGTCTGTAGTTTATGAAGACTATCAACACATGGAGCACCTTTATTGACCAGGAAGGAGGTGACCATTTACAGCCATGGCACATATAAGCTCTGTCATTTTACAATGATAATAATATATAACACAAATTAAATCCTTAAAATGTGTCAGCACCATGTTAAGTGTTTACACAGACCCAGTCATTAAATTTGTATAACAACCCTCTAAGTGGATATCATCACACACACACTCACACAATCAAGGTTTTAAATTTTATTCTGGCACTAGATAATTAATGATATAAATCATGTTTCAAACATGTAATTTGAGGAAATAATTGAAATATTTTTGGGAGTGTTTTAATCACTCATTTAGGTAATGATATGCTTAATTGTATGTGTCAACTTGGCTGCACCATGGGGCCCAGCTATTTGGTCTCATATTATTCTGGATGTATCTGTGGAGGTGCTTTATGGATGAAATTAACATCTCAATAGGTAGACTGGGAGGAAAGAAGATTACCTTCCATAATGAATATGACGTGGGTAGGCCTCATCGAGTCAGGTGTTCTCAACAGAACAAAGAATTAAAACAAAGACTGGCCTCCTGTCAGTAAGAAGGACTTCCGCCAAGAGACTCTCTTCGGACTCCAACTTCAACACTTACCTAGGTCTCTAGCCTACTCTGCAGAGTTCAGCTTTTCCAACCATCCACAATCCCATGAGCCAGCCAATCCCTTAAAATAAATCCCTCACTACACACACATAAACACAACATAAACACACAACACACACACACACAAACCTCCTGTTGGTTCTATTTTTCTGGAGATCCCTAACTAATACAAATATTGAGAATATAATTATAATAATTTTTAATATTACATGTTATCATTTAAGAAGTTGTTCATTACTTTCATGAGTAAAACTTCACTTAATCATTGCAACAATATTTAGGGAATGCAAGAAAGAGAATATATTTAATCATATTTTATAAATAAGGAAACTAGCTAAAAGAAGATAAATAAAATATCTGCATTCACAAGTTAACAAGAGGCATTGCTGGATTTGACTTTAGGTTTTGTGACTACAGTCACAAAAAAGTTGTACAGGCATGGGCCACTGTACTTAATATCCTATAGTATATTTTCAATATATGAACCTACAATAGTAACACAATCATTTGCATAAGATGAAATATTCTTTTGAATATAAAAATCGGTATAAATTATAACACAAAGTTCTTCACTACCTTCATTTCACAGGTTAAATAATGAAGTTGCTGTTATTTGTTAGACAGGCTCAAGACTTTTTCTAGTTCCTCCAACATTTGAGGATTCAGGAGTGAAGATTTGGTAAACCTGATGACCTGAATGTCATTTGTCTGAATATGTTTCCTTGATGTTGAACATGGAGGAATTTCCAAAGCAAAGCGCTTCCAGAAACATCTCTTTGTAACGCTTTCTTAACTGTGATTTCCTAATCACTATGCAGATGATTTCACTGCCTAATTAAAAGACTGGTGCAGTGATGAAGATAAAGAATACAGAGCAGGGCTGCAAGCTCATCTACAAGCAAAACACAGGAGCTACTTGTCAAGAGTAAAGGCATATTTTATCGACAGCTGTGTCCAATAAGAATGAGTTATGCAGTAAATATTTAATATTGATGCATTTCTGCTATGATTGTTACCTCCTTCGTTATCTCTCACTGTGCTCAGTAAAATAATTCATACAATTATTCATTTCAATGAATTCCATTTTAAATGGTAGAATTTTGGAAGAATGATACTCATTTTCAAAGGAAAGTAACACATTGTAGTAACTGGCAATTTAAATTCAACGAAATAAATGTGTAGGTAATGAAGTTAACTTCTGTTTATTGCTTACATTCTGTTTTGCATATAAGAACAATATATCATATTCATTACATATATATGATAGAGAAAATTGACATAATTGTTATAATTGTGTAAGAAACTGATGGTTCAACATGCAAATGGAAATTTAGCAGTGGTTTACAAAGGGACTACACGTATTGTGATATTAATAGAACAGAAGACTACATTTTAAAGCCAGTTACTCTATCACTCCTAGCTCGGTAAAATTGTCAATTACTTAATGTCTTTAAGATTTCATTTTCCATCGATTAGAGACAGAGAGAGAGAGAATGAGTGACAATAATAGGATCTACCATGTGTAGTTTTAGTGAGTAGAAATAAGACGTATGCAGAGCCAATGGAGCAGACTAGGCTTTCAAGTAATGCTATTCATCTCTCCCATTATAGATAACATGGTACCAGTTCCAAATTATCCAAGCCAAAGGAGAATAATAGTTAACATGTTAAACATATTGCTGAAATTTATCATCTGAAATTTTCACATTTAGATTTATAATTTCAACGAAAGTATATTGTATTTCTAGCATTACCCAAAATGTCATAATAAATAATATATGAGAACACAGAGTAGAAATGTATATATCCTCATCGGTATCTACATGTAAATGTATCTTTCTATCTATATATCACTCTGTGTATGTGTGTTTCTGTGTGGGTGCGTGTGTGTATGAATAACACAACTTATACTTTTCCCTCAAGGAAAGTAAAAATAATTTTTTAAAAGTTTGGCAAAAATTCAAATATTTTTATTTGAAATTTTTATATGAATATTTATTTATTTGGCAAAATATTTTAACACTCAACTAAATGACCTAGATCAACAAATAATTTAAAAATACAAAGTATGTTCATGATATTAAGTAAAAAAGAATTTTTGAGAAGTAGCAGAAGGCTATGGTGTACAAATATATAATTAAAAATAAATTATTCCATTAAAAATGTCCCCAGAAGAAATAAGAGAAAAGTCTGGAATACTTTAGATAGACTTCAAGCTTCTTTCATCAAGTTATATTTCAAGGTTCTCTTCACTAAACTTTTACTACACTAAGAGTCTCACTACACTTACGTAGAGATTGAACACATTTAATTTGAATTGGGACTTCCTTAGATCCCTAAACTAGAGATAATGTATAAAGAATAGAATGGCCTGGTTTTATTAGAATTGAGAACTACTTATAGGTACAAATTTATGTTAATCTTTAAAATATAGATATTATAAGAATTTTAACAAAAATATTGACTTTTGTATTTTTCCACTGTCAGTGATATTTTGTCTCTGTCAGCTGTATAACAAACTTACATGTACCCCAGAACTTAAAGTATAATAAAATAAAATAAAATAAAATAAAATAAAATAAAATGCTAAAAATATAACCAGGAAAAACAAACGCAGTTAGATTTTTTCTTAAATTAACTATGGAATTTTTTAAAGTTTCTTTGTTAACCAGAAGATGAAAAGTCTTAGGAAAATCTAACTAAAAAATTCCAGCACCCTGATGATTTGAGCAGTTTGATACCTCACGTTCTGCCTTTTATTTTGAGTCTTTGGCACAGATTGCTTATGGTCCACCTACATTTGGTTTTCTCTGTCTTTTCACTAATATAATTTTAACAAGGCAGATGGTTGTCAGCTTCCCTTGAAGTTAGTTGTTATTAAGTTTGTGTTGATAGAATTGAGCAGAAGTAAAGGATATCACTTCTAGTCTGAGTGAGACTTAACACTTTCATCTTGTTTTCTCCCAAGCTCTTTTCTACTTCCTGGAAGCTGGAACAATGGATGAACCAAATTTGAACCAAGTGGAGAAGATGGCAATATCCTGGAATATGGTAGAGGGACAAGATAGATGAAACCTGGATCCCTGAGTGATGACGCGAAACTGAGCCACCCCTACATCTTGGAATGCTCACTTTTAGGCTATTTTAAGACAGACATAAAACTCCAAGTGCTTTAAAATAGTATATTTTGAAATGTCCTTGTTAGAGCAGCTTTAGTTTGTTTCCTAAGTGGTACAGGCATCCACAGAATTTCATAGTGAGTAAAAATACCATGATTAAACAATAAATCTGCAGCATACAGCTGTGGAATTTGCCTGTATTTTCAAGTTATTTTAAATATATCACAAAACAAAATATATTTTTCCAGTTAATTGGTTATGACAATATTTTAAACACTAAACTTTTTCTAAGGGTGGAACATATGCAGTTGAACTTTGAGAGATAAATGAGGAAGCTAGAAATGAAGAAACCTTCCTTTAAGTTATGTTCTTTATGTCTGAGTTTCTTGGTTTTCAGACCAAATAGTTTCCCTGTTTGTGCCACTCTAGCTGTTTTTCAATGTAAAATCCAGCAACACATTCCTTAAATAGTTGAATGATAAATTTTAAAGTTATAAATAACTTGGGAGAATGTTTTTATTGTATATAATTAATTGCTAGAATTTTATTTTATCTATCCAAAAAATCACGTAGTCACTCTTTGATCATTTCCAGAATTGGGAGGATACCCATTCATATAGTTTTCATTTCAGACTATTGAACTCTCACAAAGTCTTCCCTAAATTGCACTCTAATAAAACCCTATGTAATTCCTGTCTGAATTCTTTTCTTGTTTTCCTTTTCTACTAAAACACAAAGATCTACTATATTTCAGCACATAGACTTAAGTGTCTTTAAGTTTTTGAAAGCTATCCCAACATCCTGTCTTTTTACCTGTATTCCCAGGACACATATTTCAGACCACATGGCCCTTGCTTGCTAACTCCTTATATGAATTTGCATCACCACCTTAAGATGCATATATTCTTCGCATTGTTATTTGATTATGAGAATATAAACACTGTTTGTATCCATAACAAGTTTTGTGAGTTCTCCAAAAGCACTGTTAGATAATAATTGTATCATTTTTCTGAGATTCTGCAATCCAAACTATTAAGTCTGTTTATTGGACACCTGAAGGTAAATCAAATATAAATAGACATTATTAAATCCAACAGAAATTTGAATTAAACCACTCTCCAGTATTGAGGATTGAGCATCTCAGCTGAATTCCTACTCCGCTTCCCTCCAGCATCACCTCCCCTTCCAAAAACGCTATTTTCCTGGCTTGTCATGCTCCATCACTCCCAGGACCCAACATATCAGGAAACAAATCAGAGTATCTCTATTTGTCCATCCTTATAATACTCATTGGGCACCTCCCACGTGCCAGATAGAGTTGTAGGCACCTGCAACACTTTTGTGAATAAACTGACTGTGTTAACACTTGGAGTTAACATACTACAGTCAATTTTAGCCTACTTGGAAGGACAGGAGTTTTTTTCTGGTTTTCTTTGTAATTGCCAATGGTGATAATGCATGATACCCTATAACTTCTCTCTCATCAAGCACTTCAGCTCTGCCCTGAATCACATCCCATCTGATAGGTTTTGACTATTTTCTTAACTTAAATTGTATTTCTCCCCCTTTCTCTTGCTTACAAAGTTCCTAGAGGAATGCTCATTCCTGACTGATCCCCCAAATAAATCATATTTGGTGCTCTTTGAATAAATTGAGCTCTGGCCACTCCTATCATTTGAATTAAACTATTGGGTCCATTTGGAGGCCATTCCTGCATGGCGTGTCTGTCCACACAGGGCCCGTCTTTTCTGTTATGTTCCCACCCTTGTCTACATTGATGACTGGCTTCCTGCTTGGCTCCAGCTCCCTTGCATTACTAATACATTCCTGTTTCCCAGGTGCCATTATGTGTGACATTTGATTTTAAATTACTGCACCACTTTTGCCCATTTCCACAGATAATTTGATTATACTGTTTTACAGAGTAGTCGCTAAATAAATATCTATAAAAGAAATTGACTCCACCCACTCCCATATCAAAAACTCTCATATTCCATGTTTAGCAGAGGCTGTGGTATGTGCCCTTGCTGATAAGCCCAGAGTCTGACACTTTGCATTTGCACTGCAAACTCTTGCAACTTTAAGCCTAAAAAGCTTTCTCTGACTTGTGGTGGCCTGAAGTGTGCTGTAAGGCAGGCTAGAATAGCAGGTAATTATTTTCCCTCCCCATGAAGAGTCTTCAACCAATGACAAATTGAGAGGTAAATACATATCCACCAACATCAAACATTCTTGCCCCTGGATAGGACAACTCTGAGCTGGGTTCTCTACATTCTCCCAGGGGCTGCCAATAAGTCTGAGCTCCAGTTGCCCACAGTGGTGATCTGCTCGTTAGCACATCTCACTTTAACTTTTATCCCTTACCAGAATTACTTCCTTACTCTATGACTAGTGTATTCTGGTATCACCACCCAAATATATTACAGTAAGTCCCCACTTAATGTATCCCACGGGGTCCTGGAAACTGTGACTTTGAGTGAAATGATGTATAATGAAACCAAATTTATACTATAGGCTAATTGATATAAACAAGAGTTAAGTTCTTATGGCATATTCTGGTCAAAAAAAGATCAGTAATTTCTTTAAAAAGTCCCCAAATACTTTTAACATTAAACATTGAAATAAATGTGAACTATATACTCACTTAAGAATGATTAATAACAAGTAAGGTGATTATTTGATGGTTTTTTCCATTTCAGTATCACAAATGGCAAGAGCCTCTCCTAGCAGCTCAGAGTGCAAGCGGGGAGACAGCTCTGGACAGGACACCATCCCACCACAGGGCACACTCCACACACCCACACTAACTCAGACTGGGGGCTTAGACACAACAGTTCACCTAATGTGAGCATCTTCTCTACGGGGGAGGCAACCAGAGTACCTGCAGAAAACCCATGCAGACACAGGGAGAACATGCAAACAACAGACAGTGGTCTCAGCCAGGAATCGATATTAGTTTTCCTGCCTCAATGTTTTTTTTTTTTTTTTTTTTTTTTTTTTGAGACGGAGTCTCGCTCTGTCGCCCAGGCTGGAGTGCAGTGGCGGGATCTCGGCTCACTGCAAGCTCCGCCTCCCGGGTTCACGCCATTCTCCTGCCTCAGCCTCCCAAGTAGCTGGGACTACAGGCGCCCGCCACTGCGCCCGGCTAATTTTTTGTATTTTTAGTAGAGACGGGGTTTCACCGTTTTAGCCGGGATGGTCTCGATCTCCTGACCTCGTGATCCGCCCGCCTCGGCCTCCCAAAGTGCTGGGATTACAGGCGCTGCCTCAATGTTATAACAGAAACAGTGTCGAATGAAACTGTCTTATTTCAGGACCTGCTGTGCTTTCACACATATCTCTACATCAGGGTTGGCCTTTGAGGAGTACAAACAAGATAATAATTAAGATAAAATGGTGTATGTGTGAATGAATTTGACCAGTCCTACTATGTCTTTTGACATATTTCCAATATGGGAGAAAACACTATTTTAGCTCACAATTAGTAATTTCTTTAGAATACCAAATGAATCTTTCAAAAGTTAACAGAGTGTTTTTTTTTTAATTAGCCTTTTAATTTTTATGTCCTGTAGTGTTGGTATTTGCTTGACTTTCATGACGTCTCTATCATTTCTCAAGGATATTAATACATCACATTTTCTGGTCATTGTAAATTTGACATAAACATCCAATTTACAGAGTAGCTTTGTGACAAGTTACCAGCAAGAGCTATCATCCTTAAATTTCCAATATTTGAGGTGTTCCATATTATAATATGTTATGCATTTCATAGAATCAATATAACAAGCATTTTTGATCTATTTGCTAGTATTTTAATAGGTAATAAATGATACAAAAAGAAGTTTAATAAATACAACATACCAAAACTCTAAATTCTAGATATAAGTATTTTACAGCAATGACACATTAAATGACAAGTTATGTCACCTAAGGAGTAGTTTAAAAATATCTACATTCTCCATGATTTGTTGCTGAAGTTCAGTTTTGTTTTTAACTGACTAATTCTAGTTTCCAATGCTTTTACATAATAATAAAACTATATCTCTTGTAGTCAACATAGGGTAGTTGCTATAAGAATTTAGATGGTGCATCTGTCTAAGAGGAATTTTAACCCCAATATGTGTACTGTGACACTGTTTTCCACATAAAATTTACAGAATTCTAGAAAAGTATTGAAGCTGGTAGTTATTCATAGTCTTGGCTACAGGAGGCCAATTCTCTGCTGGATCAAAATGTTAAGTTAGTTCCAAGAAAGAATGTGAGAGAAAAGTAAAAGCAATTTCTCTTTCTTCCTAGCTCAAGGAATTCACATTTTCCAAGACTGTCTGAAAATATTTTCTATCAGCTGATACTATCCAATGGGGGGAAACTGTTGAAAAAAAAATACAGCAAGGTAATAATTTTTTTTTGTTAAAAATTTGAAAAAAGAACTGAATTACATTTTATTTTTATTGGCAAAATGTTTATCTCCTAAACGTATCTTTGCCTAAATATGTCTTCCTATTTTTATGTATGCAATTAATCTGACATGATTTCATATAGCATTAAAATCTAATGTTTTATATTGAGATTGAAACTATATTCTATGAATAGGGGTGACTGGCATGGGCATGTAGCAGTCAAGCTAGAGTTGTGACTACCAGATATGGACAAAAATGGCAACTACCTTATTCTTCCACTGCAAAAAAGGCAAAGCGTTTTTAGCGTGTGTCTTATCATTTAACTTCTGCTAAAAATAGTTTCACATGGATAGATTTCCCAAAAATTCACTCTCTACTTTTTTAATGTTGAAATAATTTGGAAAAACTCCTCCTGAAATTAACCTTTGATCAAATTATAACCCACAAATGACAAAAACGTATAAAATTGGGGAAGATAAATTTAGTCTGAAATTACTGAAAGTGTTCATTAAGCCTTAATATATGCTGTCAGCTTTAAACTAAATAATAGATGAGATTTTAACATAATCAGAAGAAAACTACTGCTACCTGCTTCTGCTACTGTCACAATGAAATTGACAAGATAATTTTGAAAATAAGGCTTTCTCCAAGTCACTTCATGGATCTGACAAGCACGTGGTATTTAGAATTATATCTAGTCATACAGAAAACGATTTATCCACAAGGATATAAGATAGTTCAGTGGAAGATCAAATATATTCTCCTCTGGAGAATGTAGTGTTACTTGCTTTAACAAATAAATGCAAGCACTTCATATGATAGCAATTCTTTGCTTCTAGAAAAGATCCTATTTTCCATACTTTCGGTAATGGTCTTCAGATAATCTTCCTGCGCTTAGATAAACATCAACTAGTCAACAAAGATACAGCCCCTATGTATTACACTAAGTCACTGTGTTCATTTAATTCTGTAAGCTTTTCCATCTATTATTAATATGTGTAGTTCTCATGATTGGCAATAAGAAGCATTTGACTAGTCCTCTCACTGCAGGGAAAGAGTAGAAAACAACAAAGATAAATGTAACACGCCTATAATCTTCATGGATATCTTTTTGGACAAAGATAAAATTTAAGCACAAAAACATTCTCATCTTAATTTCCAAATTGGTAAAATATAAAATATCTAATAATTTATATTTTTTCCAGGTGAATATGACTCACAAAAATAGTGACATGATGGTACTTAATATATATAAATTTGGAGTTGGTGAAAAGGTCTTATGAACAAAATGTTGTATACTTATACATAATATGTGTTCGTTGACTTTTTAAATTACTCATTAGTTATTATTTTGTTCATCAAAATGTACTTCTTAATTTTACTGCATTCCCAGGTGGTCGATGGTAGTGGCAAATACTAAAGATGATTATATCTCAAACCAGATATCTCTAGTTTTTCAAATAGTACTTAAGCAAAGGTGTGTTCCACATCTTATGCGACAAGATCTGATTTGCTTGTTAATATTGCCTTATGATTATACGCACACAAAAGTATGTTTTTTGTTTGTTTGTTTTTGTTGTTGTTGTTTTGTTTTGTTTTGTTTTGAGACAGAGTCTCGTTCTGTCTCCCAGGCTGGAGTGCAGTGGCGCGATCTCAGCTTACTGCAACCTCTGCCCTCCTGGGTTCCAGCAATTCTTCTGCCTCAGCCTCCCGAGTTGCTGGGACTATAGGCGTGTGCCACCACGCCCGGCTAATTTTTAGTATTTTCAGTAGAGACGGGGTTTCACAGTGTTAGCCAGGATGGTCTTGATCTGCTGACCTTGTGATCCACCCACCTCGGCCTCCCAAAGTGCTGAGATTACGGCGTGAGCCACTGAGCTTGGCCAAAAGTATGTCTTAAAGCCAATTGACTATATATTGATTTTGGAGTACAGAGAATATTACTGTAAGACATCTAATCAACCAAACTAAATTTATCTATTTTAGGATTAAAAAGTATTTTCTACACGAAAACACTGAATATATTGCATATTTCCTTTAACTACAGAGCTTTAAAATTGGTATTATGTGATGTAATATATGATGAAACGAATTGTATCTTCATATAAACTATGCCTTTAAACGGAGAGAAAAATCATTTTTATTATTCTTTCATCTGCCTAAAATGGGGCAAGAAATAGACTTAGCGGGGAGAAATTCATGGACTCA